>NC_000021.9:45622712-45776607 GCF_000001405.40 Homo sapiens | reverse complement strand
ATGGATCAATCCAGGAAGAGGATATAACAATTCTAAATATATATATATATACCCAACACCAGAGCATCAAGATTCATAAAGCAAACATTACTAGATCTAAAGAGGGAGACAGACAGAGAGAGAGAGAGAGAGAGAGAAAGAGAGACTCAAGTACAAAAACAGTGGGAGAGAGAGAGACTCAAGTACAAAAACAGTGGGGGACTTCAACACCCCACTCTCAGAGACTGATTTTCACTCTAGAGAGAAAATCAACAAAGAAACATTAGATTTAAATTGGACTTCAGACCAAATAGACCTAACAGACATTTACAGAACACTCTACCCAACAACTTCAGAATATTCATTTTCATCAGCACATGAAAGGAACATTCTCCAGGACAGACTACAAAACAAGTCTCAAAAAATTTTTAAAAATCATATATCAACTATCTTCTTAGACCACAACAGAATAAAACCAGAAATCAATACCAACAGGAACTTTGGAAACTACACAAATAGATGGAAATTCAGTATGTTCCTGGGTCAATAAAGAAAAAATGAAAATAAAAAAAATCCTTGAAACAAATGAAAATAACACAACATACGAAAACCTGTGTGATACAGCAAAAGCAGAGCTAAGAGGGAATTTTATAGCAATAAATGCCTACCTGAAAAAAGCAGACAGCTTACAAATTAACAGTCTAATAATGCATCTCAAGGAACTGGAAGTGCAAAAACAAACTGAACCCCAAATTAGCAGAAGAGAAGAAATAATAAAAATCAGAGGAGAACTAAATGGCATACAGACCAGAAAAATAATACAAAGGATGAATGAAACAAAAACTTGGCTTTTCAAAAAGATAAACAAAATTGATAAACCACTAGCTAGACTAACCAAGAAAAGAAGAAGGCTGGGCACAGTGGTTCATGCCTATAATCCCAGCACTTTGAGAGCTGCAGTGTGGGAAGACTGCTTAAGGCCAGGAGTTCAAGACCAGTCTGGGCAACATAGCAAGACCTTATCTCTAAAGAAAAATTTAAAAAGTTAGCCAGGAGTGGTGGTACCCATCTGTAGTCCTAGCTACTTGGGAAGCTGAGGCTGGTGGACTGCTTGACCCAGGGGTTTGAGGCTGCAGTGAGCTGTGATCATGCCACTGCACTCCAGCCTGGGTAACAGAGTGAGACCCTGTTTCTAAAAATTTTTTTAAATAAAAAAGAAGAGAGAAGAACCAAAGAAAACAAAATCAGAAATGAATAAGGAGGCATTTAAATTAAACTGATACCACAGAAATACAAAAGATCATCAGAGACTATTATAAAAAAAAAAGCTATATACTCACAAACTAGAAAACCTGGAAGAAATGGATAAACTCCTGGAAGTATACAACCTGCCAAGACTGAGTCAGGAGGAAATAAAAATCCTGAACAGACTAATAAGGAATAGTGAGACTGAATCAGTAGTAAAAGCCTCCCAATACAGAAAAGTCCAGGTCCAGGTGAATTCACAGCAGAATTCTACCAAAAGTACAAAGAAAAACTAATACTAATCCTCCAGAAACTACTCCAAAATATCAAAGAGAAGGGAAATCTTCCTAATTCATTCTACAAGGGCAGCATTACCCTGACACCAAAACCAGACAAGAATACAACAAAATAAAACTACAGGCCAATATCCCTGATGAACACAGACACAATAATGCTCAACAAAATGTTAGCAAACCAAATCCAACAGCACATCAGAAAAATAATACACCATAATCAAGTGAGATTTATACCAGGAATACAAGTATGGTTTAACATACAGAAATCAATAAACATGATATATCACATAACAGAGTGAGTGATAAAAACCATATGGCCATCTCAATAAATGCAAAAATGCATTTGATAAAATTCAACATCTCCTCATGATAAAAACTCTCAACAAACTAAGCATAGTGGTAACATACCTCAAAATAATGAAGCCATATATGACAAAGCCACAACCAACATAATACTAGAGAAAAGCTAAGAGTGTTCTCTCTAAGAATTAGAAGAAGATAAAGATACGTACTTTCACCACTCCTATTCAACATAATACTGGAAGTCCTAGCCAGAGCAGCCAGGAAAGAGAAATAAATAAAAGGAAACCAAGTTGAAAAAGAGGAAGTCAAATTGTCCTTCTTTGCTGATGATATAATTTTATCCAGAAAAAACTAAAGTCTCCACCAAAAAGACTTTTTTTTCTTTTTTTTTTTTTTGAGATGGAGTCTTGCTCTGTCGCCAGGCTGGAGTGCAGTGGCGCAATCTCGGTTCACAGGTTCAAGGGACTCTCCTGCCTCAGCCTCCCGAGTAGCTGGGATTACAGGCACGCACCACCACGCCCAGCTAATTTTTGCATTTTTTTTTAGTAGATATGGAGTTTCACCATGTTGGCCAGGATGATCTCAATCTCTTGACCTTGTGATCTGCCCACTTCAGCTTCCCAAAGTGCTAGGATTACAGGTGTGAGCCACCACGCCCGGCCCCATAAAACTTTTAGATGCGATAAATGAATTCAGTAAGTTGCAGGATACAAAATCAACATACAAAATCAGCAGCATTTCCACACACCAATAGTGATCTAGTCAAGAAAGAAATCAAGAAGACAATCACATTTACAACAGCTACACAAAATACCTAGGAATAAATTTAACCAAGGAAAGGAAAGATTTCTATAAGGAAAACTACAAAGTGCTGATGAAAGAAATTGAAGATGACACAAATGGAAAAGCATCCCATGTTCGTGGATACGAAGAATTAATATCATTAAAATGACCATATTGCCCAAAGCAATCTACAGATTCAATGCAAGCCCTATCAAAATACCAACCTCATTCACAGAATTAGAAAAAAAAATTCTAAAATCCATATGGAACCAAAAAAGGGCACAAATAGCTAAAGCAATCCTGAGCAAAAAGAACAAAGCTGGAGGCATTACATTATCTGACTTCAAAATATATAACAAGGGTACAGTAACCAGAACAGTATGGCACTTATATAAAAATAGACACAGAGGTCACTGGAGCAGAATAGAGAACCCAGAAATAAAACCACAAAGCTTCTGGTTTAATAGTCCCATTAAAAAGTGAACAAAGGACATGAATAGACATTTCTTAAAAGAAGACACACAAACAGCCAAGAAGTATGTGAAAAAATGTTCAACATAATCTTCAACAAAGCTGACAAGAACTTACACTGGGGGAAAAGGACACCCTCTTCAATAAACGGTGGTGGAAAAAATTGGATAGCCACATGCAGAAGAATAAAATTCGACCTTATCTCTCACCATACACAAAAATCAATTCAAAATGGATTAAATACTTAAAATGTAAGACCTGAAACTATAAAAATACTTAACTGTAAGACCTGAAACTATAAAAATACTTAAATGTAAGACATGGAACTATAAAAATACTAGAAGAAAACCTAGGGAAAACTCTCCCGGACATTGGTCTAGGCAAAGAATTTATGACTAAGACCGCAAAAGCATAGGCAACAAAAACAAAAATAGACAAATGGAACTATATTAAATTAAAAAGCTTCTGCACAGCAAAGAAAACAATCAGCAGAGTGAAAAGACAACCTGTTGAATAGGGAGAAAATATTTGCAAATTATTCTTCTGACAGAGGACTAACATCCAGAATATAAAGGGAACTCAATCAAAAGGGAAAAAAACAAATAGTCCCACTAAAAAGTGAACAAAGGACCTTAATAGACATTTCTTAAAAGAAGACACACAAACAGCCAAGAAGTATGTGAAAAAAATGTTCAACATAATTAATCACCAGAGAAACGCAAATCAAAACCACAATGAGATGTCATCTTGAACCATTCAGAATGGCTGTTATTAAAAATAGAATGGCCATAATAAAAAAATAACAGGTGTTGGTGAGGATGCAGGAAAAAGAAAATACTTATATATCATTGGTGGGAATGTAAACGAGTACAGCCACTATGGAAAACAGTACAGAGATTTTTCAAAAAAACTAAAAATAAAATTACCATTAAATCAAGCAATCCCACTACTGGGTATCTACCCAAAGGAAATAAAATCAGTATATCAAAGTAGTACCTGCACTCCTATGTTTATTGCAGTACTATTCACAATAATAAGATATGGAATCAACCTAAGTATTGATCAAAGGGTGAATGGATAGAGAAGATGTAGTATATATACACAAAGGAATACTATGCAGCCTTAAAAAAGAATAAAACCATGTCAGTTGCAGCAACAAGGATGGAACTCAAAGTCATTACCTTAAGTGAAATAAGCCAGGCACAAAAAGACAAATATCTTATGTTCTCACCTATATGTAGAAGCTAAAAAATTTGATCACATGGAGGTACACAATGGAAAGATAAATACTAGAGACTAGGAAGGGTGAATGGGGGTTAGGGGAGAGGATGAAGAGGAAAGGAAGTGGATTACAAACCTTCAGTAAGATAGATGGAATAAACCCAATAATATCAGAGTAGGGTGAATGTATTTAACAAAACTATATTGTATTCAGGTGATGGACACCTTAAATATCCTGACTTGATCACTACACATTATACACATGTAACAAAATTTCACGTGTCCCATAAATTTGTATAATTAAATAAATAGGTTAACAAAAAACTAATAATTTACTTTAATATTTAATTATTTGTTGCTGGTATACAGATATACAATTGATTTTTGTATGCTGATCTTACATCCTGCAGCCTTGATAAACTTACTCATTAGTTCAGGAGCTTTGTTTTGATTCTGCAGTAGGTACTATAGGGTCAAACATGCTGACTGAGAGGAAAGACAGTTTTACTTCTTCTTTTTCAATTCCAATGCCTCTTTCTTGACTATTGAACTTGCTAGAACCTCCAGTAAAATACTGAATAGAAGAGATGAGAGCAGGTTTCCTTGCCTTACTCCTCATCTTAGGGGAAAGTATTCAGTCTTGCGCCATCAAATACGAGGTTAGCTCTAGATTTTTCATAAATACCATGCATCTGAGGAAGATTCCTTCTATTGTCAGTTTCTTGAACGTTTGTATCTGAAAGGAGTGTTGCATTTTGTCAAATGATCTCACTGCATATTCTAAAATGATACTGTTTTTCGTTTTTAGTTTGTTAAGACGGTGAAATATACTGATTAATTTTAGACAAAATGATGCTCTGAAAATGCTCAAAGCTTACATTTACTTTTCAGTCACCCACCACACTAAACTGCTAATTAATGCTAAATGTCTGGTCAACCGAAATCTCTAAGTCTTTACTGAACGCCCACCATGTGCTTGAGACAGAACTTTAGTGACCTCATCATGAACATGCGTCCCATGGGACCCCGTGTGGAATATTAATTAGCCCACTGTCTAGTCTCAAAATACATAATCTACTGGACATAAACATGCAAAAAACTTAATGTTACAATATTCAAATCCTGGTTCAAGGCAACAAGAGCAGCTGGATCATAAAGCACCAACAATTCTATCAATGGACAGCAATGCAGACCCCTGGCTGAGCCAGGGGGAAGGAAGAGCAGGCCTTCCGGCCAGGACATGAGGACTGGCTAAGGGAGACAGGTGATTCAGGCACACATGTTTACACTCCATCTTTCCCAAATTTCCACTGAATTGATTGAAGAAATCAGGAAAACAAACCACTGGAAAGCACAGATGCAGGGCCCTCCGCAAGCTCCCATGTGACGGCATGGGCAGCGGGTTCTAGAGGCCCCTCTCCTGCCCTTCCTGAAAAGCAGTGTGCCATGGAGGCAGTGGGTGAGGGAGATGCTGGGGATACATGGCTGCAGAGGCTGGCCCCAGCCACACAGGGTGCCACATGGGACCAGAGGCCACCAAGCCCCCTTTCAGCACCCCACAAGGCTGGGGGGGACCCAGAACTGGTGTGCACACATTGCATGAAGCTGATGGCTCTGCCTCCTGCTACTTTCACATCCAGCTCAGGGTCCGAATAACCTTAAAGGAGATCCCGGTGAAAAATGAGGGCTCACAGCAGAAAATGTCCATACATGCACGCTGGGAAGAAGGCAAGACCAGCACTGACTTCTCCTTCAGGGAGCAGCAAACAGAAAGAAAGAAACACAGAAGCCATAAAAAAATCTCTGCCACATGAAGAAAAACACAACAACACAGCAGAAGGTAGAAGAATGCATGTTCAGAAATATGCACAAAAAGAAACAGGTTATTTTAGTCAATGGCCTGCTATGTGCTTTCAGAGACAAGAAGGAAAAGAAAAACTCAATGAAACAAGAGATTAAAAATTGTAAAACGATAGTCTAAAAAGAAAAGGAAATATGAATAAAAAATTATATTTGGCTTCAAAATAGCTTTAGATAAAGTCTAGAGGAACTGTAATCATGAGAAGAAATGATCAAAATTTCATTTACTTTCCATATTCTTAATCTTCTGTTCGCTAATTTGACTTCAGGGGAGAGGAGGCGCCCCTTCGGCGGAGTTCAGGGGCGCCGTTCAGACGGACACAAGGAGGGAGGCCGGGTCGCCGTCGATTATGCACCATGTCCAACACGAGGCCGCCACCTGCCAACCCCCCGGCGTTCACCATGTCCTGTGGTGGTGAGCACTACCATCTCCACGGCCCACTGTGTGCCTCAGGGCTAAACAAAACCTCCTGCAGGCTAAACAATGTCCAGAAAAGTTCTTCTTCCATTTTGTCTTCCCACAGACTCAATAATAAAGTGTATTTTTCCTAACAAGAGATGCAGTTTCTGCTGGGCTGAGTCACAGAGCTGCCGTACTGTTAAGCTTTCTCTGAAATATGTCACGTCACATTTCTATCACTTGTGAAACGAGCGGCCCATTTTCCCTCCCTGAATATCACACACTAGTTACACTCCAGAGGCCTGCCTACGAGAGACGGCCAGCCAGAGTGAAGACCTGGCAAGGCAGAAATGCAGGACTTTAGGACCCCAGAGAGAACCTGCAACCATGGGTGGGGCAGAGGCAGGCTGGCCTGCACGCCAACCCAGAGTTTCAGAGAAGGCACCTAAAAGGTCCAGACACCAGTTCTCTCCTCTGTAGGGGGAACACAAGACCGGCCTGGATAGGCGGTTCTAAGAATTAAACTGAACAAAGCACAGTAGGGGCCGCCCATTTGAAGATCCCTTTCATTTCAGAGACGCAGGTGCTCCAGCTGCACGCACAGGCGATGCGCCCACAGTCCCAGCACAGGCAGCAGACAGCCCTGCGTGAGCACCCGCGTCTTCTAATGGTGAGCACGCACTGTCACCTGCACTCAGGGACAGGTTTGGGAGGGCGAGTTTTACCCTGAGGAATGGGTCGTCCAACACTCCCTCAACTGTAGAAACCTGTGTACACTCAATTCAAATAACAGAATAACCATGGGAGAGCACTGTGGGAAAACCCACCCATCTCATGCCACCCACAGTGTCTTGTGGGGCCCTGGAACTGAGCTGGGCCTTAGCCAATGCCCAGTGAATGCAAGAAGACAAGGATTCAGTGGAGAAACAAATGAAAGAGGGGCTGAGGCTGAGCTAAGTCAGCACAGGCAATGCAGTCTGTAGCCAGTGCCACACAAAGCCTGAACCTTACTTCTGGTAACAATCCCCAAACAGCCCTGAACAGAGAAGCAGAGACACCGTCCTCCTGGAAGTCCTGACACGTGCTCACCTCCTGCCATCGGTCATCATGCCCTGATTGCGCCTTGGAGCTCTGGCATCCCCGAGTCAGACGGAACAGGCAGAGGTGCCTGTCGTGGAGACGAGGGGACGATAGCACTGCAGGCCAGGGGTGCCTGGCTCCCTGCTCACAGGGCAGGCACAGCACGTCCTCAGCCAGGCCTCCAACTGCAGATGGCGCCCTGGGAAAGCCTGCTGCCACCATGGGGAGGGCAAAGCACACCAGTGCAATGGGGTAAAAGTAGCAGGAGGCAGAGCCATCAGCTTCATGCAGTGTGTGCACTCAACTGGAGTGTTCTGAGTCCTCTTCAGTGTTTCCTTTGCTCAACAAATTTAAATCTCCACAACTCAGAAAGGAAAAGTTGTGCTGCTGTACTACACTAAATCAAGTTGAATTACCAGGAAGCTATCACACAAGAATGTGGTAATGATATACTGGAAAATGTGAATACATCTCCCCTCAAATGCATCTGCTTTGACACCCCTAAGACACCATGACGGTGCCCCACAGTCTGATGCTCAGTAACAAGAATTCTGCCAGTGATTTCCACTGAGCAACAGAAACGCCTTCAGGAATTTACTGTAAGCAAAACCACAGCCAAGTATAACACAATATAACAGACGTGAGAGTCTCGCAGTGCTGGAAACCTTCATCTTGTCCAAGTGCTTTCGCTGAGAAACGTGAGGGTGGCTCACTGCCACCCACGCAGGGAGCATCAGCAAAGGCCCACGCAGGGCTAGGCCTCAGCAGGCACCACACGGCCACACACAGAGGCACCCCACAGCCCAGGCTCTCCCCACCAAAGGGTGAGAAGGCAACTGCCCCACAGTGTGTGCCCCAGTGCAGCTGGGAGGGAAGCAGCCAGCCACCTGCAAGACAGAAGCTGGTGCATCGTGGCAGCAAGGACACTGGCACCATGGCCTGTGGCCAACGTGGGTAGTGACACTGGTCCTAAAACTACAGGCATCCTTCTCAAACAATCAAGCAAAAACAAACCTGCTAGAGTTCACTAAACAACAGCAGGATCTGTGCCCTTGCTCACACTGCCTGCCCCTCTAACAGCCCTCCCTCTGCCTGCTCAGGACCAGCACAGGCCCCCTCCTCTCTGAGAGCCTGTCAGTGCCCTCTAGGGCACCACCTGCAGGGGCCTGGGGCCTGACATGAGCACCGGAGCAGGAGCAGAGACCCTGCCATGGCCTCCCGACTGGCCAGCACAGAGCTGCCTCACCACGAAGGTCTGTCCTATCCTGAGCAAGTCCTTTTACCTCCCCATGCCCCATTTCTTAAAATGGGGATAAAAAAGTGCCACCTCAAGAAGGCAAAACAGTGCAGTGCGGCTGCTGTGGAAAACGGTCTGGTGGTTCCTCAGTCAGTTAACACAGAGTCTCTACGTGTCCCCCAGGTCCACTCCTAAGGAACTGAAAAGAGGTGTCAAACAAAAACTTGTAAAAGAATGTTCATGGTGGTACTATTCACAATAGCCGAAGAGCAGGAAAAAAACCAATGTCACTAATCAATAAGTGGATGTGGTATATTCATACAACAGAACATGATTCAGCCATAAAAAGGAATGAAATTCTGACACATGCTACGATGATGCAGATAAACCTCAAAAACAGGATGCAAGTGAAAGAAGCCAGACGCTGTGTGGTTCCATTTATATTAAATACCCAGCATGGGCAAATCTGTAGACAGAAATTAGACTAGTGGCTGCCAGGGGCTGGGGAAAGGGGGGATTGGGAGGGACTGCTTAACGGGCACAGGGCTTTACTTTGGGGGGGTGAGAATGTTCTGGAAGTAGGCAGACGTGGTGGCTGCGTAGCATGAAGACTGTGCTCAATGCCACTGACTTATACACTTGAAAACGGCACAGTTTATGTTATGTGAATTATGCCTCAATTAAAAGGGGGGAGGGGAGTGACCCCTCACAGAGCTGCTGTCAGGGTCAAAACTGAGTACTGTGTTAGTGAGTGAGTGTGTGTGTGAAAGTGAACATGTTTCTAGTCAGTGTCTGACAGACTGTAATGATACCACTCTTGTTGTTGTTGTTGATTGTGTTGGCTTTCTCATTTGGTTTTTTCTTTTTTTAAAGAAAGAAAGAAAAAGCTCTAAATAATGCACAAGTTAACTGGCTATGAAGCCCTAAGGGAGAAAGGAGACTCTCAGGATAGGCAGAGTCCTGGCAGCTACACACCTTTCCTGTTGAGAGGAAATCGGCCTCTTCCCTCCAGTCTTTTCAATGACCAATGAGTGACGGGGACATCTGTGGGCATCTGCTGGGGCCTGTGCTCACACAGGCCAACTGCAGGCTGCTTTCCCAAAAGTGTAACCGTGAGGTAAAAAGTGCTTTCATCTGCTCAGCTGCCATAACAGAACACCACAGACTGGGGGCTTCCACGGAAGCTGGAAATGGAGATCAGGGTGCTGGCTGGGTTGGAATCTGGTGCCGGTGTTCTTCCTCGGTTTTGCAGATGGCTGCCTCCCTGCTGTGTCCTCACATGGGTGCAGAGAGAGAGACAGCTCTCGCATCCCTTCCTCCTCTTACAAGGCCATAGTCCTCTCAAATTCGGGCCCACCCTTATGACCTCAGTAACCTTAATCACCTCCCAAGGGCCCCGACTCCAAAAGCAGTCATACTAGGGGTTTGGGCTTCAACACGTGAACTTGGGGGCACAATCCGGTCCATCGCTGGTGGTATCTGAGGAGGAGAAAGTCATGTGAGGCACAGCAACACATCAAAGCGTGGCCAGCCACTCCAGCGGCCAGTCTGCAGGGCAGGCGCCTCACTAAGGATGGCTGGTCAATGCCGCTGCTCCCTACATCCTCAGCCTGGGACTGTGAAGCCGTGGATGACGATGTTGTACGGACCCACGTCAGTCCCACAGGAGACAAGACCATGGGAGAAAATGCTGCTTTAACTGTGCCAACATTTCCACATTTAAAAGGCACAGTAGCCCACATCCAACATCACTGACCATTAACGTTACTGCACTCATCCTTCCAGGCTCCAGGAGACTTCTGAAGGCGTCCACTTGAATACATTATTTTTCAGCACAATTATGAGACTGAACAAAATTTGAGCCTTCCCCGTTCTCAGGAACATGAAGGAAGCACATCGCCAGTGCTTATTCAGGAGGAATGACTTGTTTCTGTATTTTCTTATCAACATCATCCACAGTTACTCCAGAGAACAGTCGTCCCTGTGGAAGTCCCCATAGCCCTAAACTGAAGCCGATGTCTGGACATGAGGGGCCTCCTAGGGACCATCCAGGAGGCAGGAGCCAGGAGACAAGCCCCCGACCCCTCAGGAAGGCAGACAATGGAAGAGCCGCGCTGGCAAACCCTCCCAGGACCAGCATGGCACTGTCCTCGGTGCCCTCACCAGTCCCAGGAGCCCCACGGGGAGGGGCAGCGCGCACCCTGGGGTCTGGCAGGCCCAGCCCGCCGGGAGAGCACATTCGCAGCTCCTCACTGTAGCTGCTGACTTGGTGTGACTGAGGGGTTTTCTCTATTTGAGCTGTCCTCCTATTTAACTTGTTGTTTCTACCAACTTCACTTCAGGACCATAATTTTTATGAAACAAAAAATCTGATTACCTCACCTGTTTTCATCTGGCCAATGCCCGCCCCAACCTGATGATGCAGATGGTGCTGTGGGAAGGGTTTCCCAGGCCCCAGCCTGGCCACCCTCTCCTCTCAGCACAGATATCCTGGCACCCCTGGAGGGTCACCCTGGTGCCCAGTCACCCAAGTCCACAGGGATATCTGCTCATGCCTCTCTGTCTATCCCCACCTTCCCCTAAAGGGCACCATCCCCAACTCAGCAGCTGCCCACTGACCCTGCACCATGCTGTTTCAGGCACACCCATGCCCTCTGCACACACACCAGCAGGTGTCCATTCTATGGGCTGTACTCACACATGGACAGCAGCAAGTCCACGTCTCGCCACAGGCTGGCCCAGGCCCCATGGCCCACCCGGGGCCTCGACCACTGATCCTTCCTGTCCAGCTCCAAGGCTCTGCAGCCAAACTCCCAGACCTCCCCCCTTCCAAGAGCAAAGCTTCTCCGGCATAGCCCCAGCCCGTTCCCAGGAAGCGCACATCTGTCTCCACGCTTATAATTATCACTTAGCAAGCACACAGACGATGGCACCACTCTTTCCCTTGCTAGAATGTGGTAAATGGAAAACTAACATTATAAAGCTATTTTTTACATTCTGTGATTTGTTTTAAATTAAAAGCTTGAAAACACTCTTGAGCTGGCTGACTCCATGTACCCCAGGTGTACTCCTAAGCACAGCTGCCTGCCCACCGTCCAGAAAACTGCAGCAAAAGCTTCTCTGCAAGCCCCCTGCCTTCAGCCTGCAGCTGAAGTTTCTGAGAGAGGCTCCATGGTGGGCAGCAGGGTTAACGGAAGTGGTCAGAAATAGGGTCAGAACATGCAGCACCCCTCACTTGGCGGGTTAACTAATACACAGCCAGCTTGTTTTGCTATAGCACAATTGTTGAATTCAAGAAACTTTGTATTACTGGCCGACCACGGTGGCTCACGCCTGTAATCCCAGCACTTTGGGAGGCGGAGGCGGGTAGACTGCCTGAGGTCGGGAGTTCGAGACCAGCCTGGCCAACATGGAGAAACCCCATTTCTACTAAAAATACATAATTAGCCGGGCGTGGTGGCGCATGCCTGTAATCCCAGCTACTCGGAAGGCTGAGGCAGGAGAATCGCTTGAACCCGGGAGGCGGAGGTTGCGGTGAGCCAAGATTGCGCCATTGCACTCCAGCCCAGGCAACAAGAGCAAAACTTCATCTCAAAAACAAAAAAAAAAAAAAGAAAAAAAAAAGAATGAGAAACTTTGTATTACAAAAGCAATTATCTCACTAAGAACAAAAGGGAGGAGCTAGACAGCTTCACTCACAAATAATAAAGCTATTTTTTTTCTGCAGATGTTTCAACAGGAAAAGCCATGTATGACATTCAAAACACCGTATTATTAGAAGCTCATTTAATTGTTTAATGCAGACAAAAATCAAGGCTAACTAAAAGCAGATCCAATGACCCAGTGATCAACCTAGAGGTTCCCACGGCCAAGGGCAAAGGGAGGGAGTGCCATGAAGCAGCTTCCGGGGAGAGAGAGGAAGGGGGCCTGCCTGAGAATTCGCTCTGTGTGGGCAGTGCCCACGTGCAACCAGCGACACTCGCCAGGGCACTGATGAAACCAACCGCCAGCGAGCAGCACGGGAGACCCGCGGGGAGGGCGCGGCCCTGGCTCTGCCACCTCCCTGCTCCCGGACCACACTGGTGGGCGCAGGCAGACGATCCTGATGCTCGACCACGGCCGCATCTCATCTGGGGGTGCCCTCTGCTATTCTTATCCTACAGGCGTTCAACCCAAAAAAAACTTTGCAGTGAACTTTGCCTCTTCCTGTTTCTCCTGAGGATGCTCCTCTACGCCGAGTTTAGGAGAAGAGAGTGAGAGGAGCAACAGTGAAAGGCCAAGGGAACAAATCCATCCGCGGGCAGCCCCTTCGCGCCTTCTCCACTGCACCCTGAGCCCTACAGCTGAGAAGCGGAGTCCTGAGACTGTGCCAGCACCGCACGCAGAGCCTGGTGTGTGGTCGGAGCACAGCGTGAGCGGAATGAATGCTGAATAAATAATTATCATCCTACACACATTCTAAGCCAGAAATAGAGAAATGTTACAGCCCTCAATGGTGGGAACTGCAAAACCTCAGCCCTGCAAAGCATGCCCCATGTAGGGGCAGCGCCACTGCTGCTTGTGCGGCTCAGCTGACCGAGCGGAAAGCCAGAGGGGGCACCTCCGGAGAGTCGCCGAGCACTGCTGCTCCAGTGACCAAACGTCCGGCCTTCTAAGAGGTATGTGTCAACCTCAATCCTAAACAAGCAGCAAGGAAGATGTGGATACTTACTGTCCCTTTAAGTTAAATTACCTAGAGAAAACCTATCCTAAAAGAAAAGGCAATGAAAGTAACCACAAAAGTGATGAGACAGAAAAGCCATGGCTCACATGACCCCCTGGAAGGGTTGCTGCTGGCCTTACCTACAAGGCGAACGTGGAAAATCCAAGAAGTCCTCAATGAGAGTGAGGTGGTTTGAGAAAATGCCCACAGATTGTTGGATACATCTCTCTTAAAAAGGCAGAGCACAGGCCGGGCGTGGTGGCTCACGCCTGTAATCCCGGCAGTTTGGGAGGCTGGGGCAGGTAGATCACTTGAGGTCAGGAGACCAGCCGGGCCAACACTGAGAAACCCTGCCTCTACTAAAAATAATAAAATACAAAAAAGTTAGCCGGGTGTGCTGGTGGGCGCCTGTAATCCCAGCTACTCAGGAGAATCGCCCAAACCCAGGAGGCAGAAGTTGCAAGGTTGAGCCAAGATCATGCCACTGCACTCCAGCCTGGGTGACAGAGTGAGACTCTGTCTCAAAAAAAAAAAAAAAAGAGAAGAAAAGAAAAGAAAAAGGTGAAGCACAATTACCCTCCCTTAAGACAGGACTGACTTGGTAACGCACATGGAAAGAACATAGTGTGGCAGAAGGGACAGGGTGTAACACCCGAGACTGGGACATGCAGGCCCCGTGACCCCTCCTTGCTCTCTCTCTCTCTCTCTCCAATCGCCTGCTCAGGAAAAGTGAATGGCAATCCCACAGACACGCACGCAGCCCTGTGGGGAGGCCGCAAGGTGCTGGGCTGAGGCCTCCTGCCCTTGCCCTGTGAGAGCACCCTGGAAGTGGGCTGTCCAGCTGATGTGCAGCCTCAAAAGAGACCCCAAGCCAGACCCACCCACGAAAGGTACCCCTGAATTCTGGACTCATAAAATCTCTTAGATAATACATATTTGTTGTTTTAACCCACTCAGTTTTGCATTGGTTACACAGCAATAGAAAATAAAGGAGGCAGATGAAATTGATGGAGAAACAATTGCAACGAAAACAGAATACACAATGCACGAGCCTGTGTCAGGAATGACAGTGCATTCCACGGAAGAGTTGCACAGAGAGAGACCAGTTACAAGATGCCATCAGGATAACGGGAGCTGCGCTGGGCAGCTGGGCCTTCCGACATCCTCCCTGGTTGCGGTGGCAGTGGTGGTGTCTGCTCCAGGTCAAGGCTGGCAGAGAGGGGAAGGGAGGGCCAGCGCCTCAGGCAGTCACTGCACCCTCAAGGCCCAGGACACTCACGTCCACAGGACAAGCATCCCGCGGCTCACCTACTGTCCTCACCAGAGACCAACCACACCCACAGAAAGGCCAAGAGGCATTCTGGAAACACAAACCTCACTGAGTAACAAAGAAACAGTATTTGAGGAAAGCCAATGTGATGAAAGAGAGACGCCAGACTGGAAGGAGGGACGGTCATCTGAGAACATACAAAGCAAGTGGCAAGCGCTAGTTTACACGTCCAAGGTGACCGTCACATGCTCTGTCCAGGCAAGAGAGGCAAGTGGACACCCTGAGAAGGAAAAATGTTGTCAAAATAAAAACCTAATATGTGAACCTAGGAGTAAAATGGACACAGCTTGCGAGCAAAGAGACAGTGAGAAGATGAAGCCAAGGCACTCTCCAGAATGCAGGTGACGGGAAAAAGAGACAGTAACAGATCCAAAGAGGTCCAGAAGGAATGACCATGGAGCGGAAAGAAAGAAAACAGCATTCAAAAAGGCGACAGAATAGAATTCCCCGGGCTGAAGAAATAAGTCTTCAGAGTGAAAGGACCCAAGGAACAATGTCCTGCTTAAGTTCAGAAAATCCAAGGCTGAGGAGAGAGCCCTGAAAGGCTCCACGTGGCAACACTGTGCTAAAAGACAGTGGAGTTCTGAGGAGCAGCTCTTCCCACGGAACTTTTTTTTTTTTTTTGAGATGGAGTCTCGCTCTCTGGAGTGCAATGGCGCAATCTTGGCTCACAGAAACCTCCGCCTCCCAGGTTCAAGCGATTCTCCTGCCTCAGCGTCCCGAGTAACTGGGATTACAGGCACCCGCCACCATGCCAGGCTAATTTTTATGTTTTTAGTAGAGACGGGGTTTCACCATGTTGGCTAGGCTGGTCTCGAACTCCTGACTGCAAGTGATCCGCCCCACCTCAGCCTCCCAAAGTGCTGGGATTACAGGCATGAGCCACCGCGCCCGGCCTCAATGGAACTTTTAAATCATCTAGCCCATCAATATTTTAGACATTTCCAATATGTCTGGATTTATTTACTATTTTATGTTGTGTTTTCTACTTTTCTCATCTTTCTGTGTTCAACTATCCTCTTTTGCCTTCTTTTGGATTTTTCTCCCCATTATACATTTTTTTCTTTTTACTCTAAACTTAATTACATAACTTATCAAAGCCTAATGTCCCCACACTCTACCCACGCAATCCCAGGACCTTAAAACTCTTTAATTCCATTCCCTTCCTGCTGACATGACCTTGGAGTCAATTATTTTAGTTCTACCATTTGTGGTTTAGCCCAGGAGACATCTGCCTCAAGCCTGTTCAATTTACTCACATGCATACAACTTTGTTTATAATGCCTTCTTAGAGCTCGGACTTTCCATAGAAGACAACCTTCTCTCCTCCTGAAATAGGTCCTTTAGAAATGCTTTTAGTAGCCAGGCATAGTGGTGCATGCCTGTATTCCAGGTGCTCAGGAGGCTGAGGCAGGAGAGTGGACTGAGCCCAGGAGTTCGAGGCTGTGGTGCACTGTGATCATGCCTATGAGTAGCCACTGCACTCCAGCCTGGGCAACGTGGTGAGACCCTGTCTCTAGAAAAACAGAAATACTTTTAATAAAGTCCTATAGGTATCAAATTATCTCCACTTGTGTTTGTATAAAATGTATTTATTTTTCTATAATTCCTGAAAGATATATTAAGTATATCAGTTAGTGCAAAAGTAATTGCAGGTTAATGGCAAAAACTGCAATTACTTTTGCACCAACCTAATAGAATGTCAGTTCTTTTCTCTCAGCACGTTAGATATTATCCAGCTATCTTCTCCTTTCCACTGGTGCCAGTAAGAAGCCATGTCAGCCTTAATGTTGCTTCTTTGAAGGCAATGTCTTTTCTCTCTGTTAAGATCTTGTACTTGTCTTTGGTGTTCCAGAGTTTCACCATGATATGTCTAAATATAGACTTCATTTCACCAGGCTGGTATTTGTTAGAGTTTTTGAAACTGTAGATTGGTGGCTTTCACACACCCTAGAAAACTGTTAACCATTATTCCAAATGTTACTTTTACTCCATTGTCCCCCCTTCTCTTTCTGGAAAACCAATGAATTATATGTTATAACTTGTCCATGTCTCTCCATGTCTGAAATCTTCTCTTGAATAGTTTATATCTCTTTGTCCCTCTGGGCTGTGTTCTGTCTGTCTACTGTGGATTACAGTAAAAACCAGAGAAGGAAGGTGAATATGAAAAGAAATGATGAGAAGTACAGAGTAAGAACGTCTGACATAATGTAACTGAGGTTTCCAAAGAAGAGAAAAATAATGCGGCAGAGGTGATATTTGACAAGATAAAAAACATGGAATGTTAGCGGAAGCTGTTCCGGATGATATCAAACAAAAACTCAGATCCACACAGAAAAAAATCTTATAACAATTAAAGAAACTGAATTCACAGTTTAAAAACTCTCCAACAACAACAACAAGAAACTCCAGGCCCAAATTGCTTTAATGGCAAATTCTAATAAACAATTTAAGAAAGATAAAACATGACTTCACACAAACTCCTGAAAACAGAAAAGGAGGAAATCCTTCCCAAATCATTTTATGAGGTCAAATTTATCTTAACAGCAAACCTATACAAAGCCACTTCAAGGAAAGAACACTACAAACCCAAATCCCCCATGAATATAGATGCACAAATTCTTAACAAAATCCCTTTACTGTAACACATCATAACTTAGTAGGATTTAACTTGGAAACCTTCGCTCAACAATCAAAAATCAAAGTAATTTGCCATTATATAGATTAAAAATGAAAAACCATACATTATTTTAATTGATGTAGATAAAATATGTGACAAAATTCAACTAGCATTCATGATAAAAATTTTCAGCAAATTCCTTAACCTGATAAAAAGCTATCATCATACTTAAGGTGAGAAACCAGATGCTTCCCCCAAGAGCAGAAACAAGACAAAGATGTCCCTTCTCACCATCTCTAATCAACATCCCACTGGGGATCCCAGTAAGTACCCTAAGAGAAGTAAAAGAAATAAAGAGCCTGTGGGTTAGAAACTGTAAAAAAATAATTAGAGCTACAAAACAAGTTTAGTAAGATTGCAAGATACGAGATCAATATATAAAAATGAGTTATATTTATTATATACACTAGCCAAGAAAAACCCAAAATAAAATTAAGAAAACAATTACATTTATAATAGCATGGAAAAGCAAAAAATACTTAGAATAAGTTTAACAAAAATGCAAGACTTGCACTGTGAAAACTATCAAACATGTTGAAAGAAATCACAGAGGGGCTAAATAAACACAAAGCCATCTCATGTTCCTGACTGAAAGACTTCATATTGTTGTCATGGCAATACTCCCCAAATGTATCTACAGATTCAAGGCAATCACTGTCAGATCTGCCATTATTTATTGAAATGGCAAGCTGATCCTAAAATTCACATGGAATGCAACAATGACAAAAAAAAATAGTCAAAATTTCGGAAAAGAAGAACTAAGAAGACTCACCCTTGTCAATTTCAAAACCTATAAATCTCCAGGATCCAAAACATAGTACTGACTTAAGAATATACATAGACTGGCCAGGCACGGTGGCTCACGCCACTTTGGGAGGCCAAGGCGGGCAGATTGCCTGAGCTCACGAGTTCGAGACCACCCTGGGCAACATGGTGAAACCCCGTCTCTACTAAAATACAAAAAATTAGCTGGGCATGGTGGTGCACGCCTGTAATCCCAGCTACTCGGGAGGCTGAGAGGCACAAGAATCAGCTGAGCCCTGGAGGTGGAGGTTGCAGTGAGCCGAGATCGCACCACTGTACCTCAGCTTGGGCTACAGAGTGAGACTCTGTCTCAAAAAAAAAAAAAAGAATATATATAGACCAATGGGTTAGAATTGAGAATCCAGAAATAAACCCTCCCATCTATGGTGAAATGATTTCTGACTAGAATACTAAGACCATTCCATAGGAAAATAATCATCTTTTTAAATATGGAGTGCTGTGACAACTGAATATCCCCATGCAAAAGAATGACTCTGGACCCCTACTTCACACCACAGACAAAAATTAATTGAAAATGGGCCAAAGACCTAAATGTAAGAGCTAAGACTACAAACTTCTTAGAGGAAAACACCAGTGTACATCTCCATAACCTCGGATTAGCCAGTAGTTTCTTAGCTATGACTTAACTGCACACAACCAAAGAAAAAACAGGTAAAGTGAACTTCACTGAAATTAAAAACTTTTGTTTGTCAAAAGGTACTACCAAGAAAATGAAAAGACAACCTACTAAATGAAAGAAAACTGATAGCAATCTTATCTCTGAAAGTGTCTAGTATCCAGAATATATATATTTAAAAAACCTACAACTCAACAATAAAGAACAAACAATTTAAAAGTAGGCAAAAAACTTGAATAGACATTTTTCCAAAGAAGATATACAAATGGCCAATAAGCACAAGAAAAGATGTTCCACATCACTAGTGACTTGGGAAATGCTAATCAATACCACAGCACGATACTACTTCAGGCCTACTTGGATAGCTGTACCATAAAGAAATAGAAGATGGGTGTTGACAAGGATGTGTGGAAACCGGAACGCTCACACATGTGGGTGGGAATGTCGAATGGTACAGCATCTGTGAAAAACCACTTGGCATCTTCTCAAAAAGGTAAACACAGAGTTAAGATATGACACTACACTTCTACTTCTACATATAAACTCAAGCTAAGTTAAAATATATGTCCATATAAAAAACTTGTACAGGAATGTTTGTAGAAGCATTATTCATAATAGCCAAAAAGTGTAAACAAACTAAATACCCAAAAAGTGTAAACGAACTAAATACCCGTCAACTATAATGGATAAACAAAATGTGGTCCATCCATACAATGGAATATTATTCAGCCATAAAAAGGAATAAAGTACTAATACATACCATAACATGCATAAACTTTGAAAATATGCTGAGTGAAAGAAATCAGACACCAAAAGCCACATGTTGTATGATTCCATTAATACAAAACTTCAGAGTAGGCAAATCCATAGGAACAGAAAGGAGGAAGAAGGAGTGGGGAGTGACTGCTCCTGGGGTTGTTTTACGGGTGGTGATAGTGATAATGGCTGTACACGCTAGCGAATATACTAAAAACCACTGAAGTCTATGGTGTGTGAATTATATCTTAATACAAACAAGATAAAATGGAAATAAAAGTTTTAAAAACATGCATATTCTCCCCAAATTGTTCTGCAGATCCAACACTATCTCAATCAAAATCTCAGTGGTCTTTTTTTGTAGAAATTGACAGCTGATTCTAAAATTTGTATTTTAGAATCAAAGCAAAGGACTTCATAGGAAAAACAATTTTGAAAAAGACCTACATTAGAGGACTCATTGTACCTGATTTCAAGACTTATTATAAAGCTACAGTAAACAGAACACTTTGGTGCCAGTGAGAAGACAGGAATGGAGTGCAGTGGACTGGAATACAGAGTCCAGACAGATGCCAGCACAGATCGCTGTCTGGTGAAAGAGCAAAGATGACCAGTGAAGAAGATAACAGATCTCTGAACAAACAATGCTCAAAGAAATGTACATCCCTGGGGGAAAGTGAACCTCAACTCTAATCTTGCACTATATATTCTTAAAGTGGCTCAAAATGGATGGGGGATGGGGAATAGATCAGAGACCTAATTTAAAGACCTAAAACTATATAATTTCTAGGAGAAAACAGGAGATAATCTTTGTGACCTTGGGAATGTGCAGAATTCTTAGGACACAGGAAATACAACCATAAAAGACAAAAAATGACAAATTTTACTTTACCGAGATTAAACAATTCCGTTTCTTTAAAGACATTAAGAAAATAAAAATTCAAGGCATACTTTAGGAGAAAACATTTGAAAAATACATATCTGATAAATGACTGGTATTCATAGCATATAACAAACCCTCACAAATCAACAATAAGAAAACAAACAATATAAAATGTTTTAATTTTAATGGGCAAAATGTATGAACAGACACTTTGCCAAAGAAGACATACAGATGGGAAACAAGCATGGGAGGAAGGTTCCGTATCACATGTCACCAGGAAAATGCAAATTAAAACTATAATGTGACACCATTACATGCCCACTAGAAAGGAGAAAATTTTAAAAGCTGACAACACTGAATGCTGACCATTTATTTCACAAGCAACAGGAACTCTCATGCACTGTTTGTGGGAATGTACACTGACTGGTGCAGCAACTTGGGACAATGCGTTCCTTGGGAGTTTCTTACAAAATTAAACACACACTTACCATGTGATCTAGAAAAGCCCACTCCTAGGTATTTACCTATGAAAAATGAAAACATACATCCACATAAAGACCGGTACAAGAAAGTTTATAGCAGATTTATTCATAATCTCTAAAACTGTAAATCTCCAAATTTCTATCAATAGGTGAATGGATGTACAAATTGTGGCATATTTATCAAAAATTATTCAGCAACAATATGAATGCATCTCAGAAGTATCATGGGCAAGGGATAAAGCAGAGTCAAAATGTCACATGCTGCATGATTCCACATTCTGAGAAAGGCAGAGCTGCAGTTAAACAGATCAGCGATTGTCAGGGGCTTCAGAAGGGTCATGAGGGAACTTTGAGCTGGTGAAAATATTCTATTTATAATATGATTGTGTTGATAGCTAATATCTGCATAAATTTGTTGAAACTCATAAAACTGTATCCTTAAAAGGGTGAATTTTATACTATATAAATTATATCTCAATATACTTGATGTTAAAAAAGATACCAAGAACAATCCCAAGCAAGATAAATACAAGAAATCTACACCTAAATACATCATAGTAAAATTGTAAAACACCAAAGACATAGGGAAAATCTTAAAAGTAACCAAAATTTTAATAGAAATTCCTTGAACTGAGTATTATTTAAATTGAAAGATGGCTTCTCAATAGCAATGGAAGCCAAAGACAGTAGAATAAAATCTCTTCCATGCTCTAAGAAAATAATCTTCTACCCAGAATTTCAACCCAGAGGAGCAGGAGCTAGTATTAGCTTCTCTGTTACTAGATTTTCAACCTCTCTACTAAACTCTAATGTGGGATACACAGGCAATTAGCATTTAAGTCTTTATGTGGCTGTGAGAAGATACAAGGTGTCATGCTAAATTTAAAACTCACGAATATTTTCTAGCTGTTTTCTAGCTATATCAACAGGGAATATTTTTTAAATGCTGCTGAAAACCTGAGATAATTTCTGGTAGTCACAAATAGACACACCAGCAGATTTGGGTAGGTTAGCAGGCCTAATTTAAACAACCGAAGCAAAAGAAACGAGACGCTGAGATTAATCACCAAAATCAAAAAAACTGTACTGGCAAAGATACAACAAATACGTCAATACCTTAGATTTCCAGGACATAATTTAAAAGTTTTCTTGTTTTTTCAGCATTAATTTTTTTACTGGGTACTTGAACTATTCTTATCATAACTATTTTCATTATAATATTATATACAGGTTGAACAAAGACTCATCACTACTCCTAAACTTGTAGTCCGAGCTTTTTCTATGCCACATGCCAATATTTTTCCATTAAAATTTAATTTTGGAAAGCAGTCTTGGGTAAAACAATTTCAGAATGACCTAATAAGTAAAATACATTTTACCTATTAAAAATTAAAAATAAAATACAGGTTTTGAAAAAAAGAAGGTAGAAAGTTTCAGTTAAAAATAGTTTTTTACCCACATTCTCACCACGATGCATTTTAGAAGAGGCATTATCTGTGGTAAAAGTGGAAACAAATAGTAATGAATGTGGTGAGATATGAGTAAATCTAAACAGGCACCAGTGTATAAAATGATGGAGAAAGCTGCACAATATTAAAAATACAACAGTTGAGAATGAAAATGCCATTCAAGTCAGGAGAGAATAATCAGAGGTGAGCACTGTGAGACTCCTTCATTCTCTGGAATGTGGACAGAGTACTAATTAATTCTGGACCTTGATAAATTAAGCATACATATAAGACAAACACAAAAATAAGAGAAACCGAAATTACATAGTGAAGGAGAAAACTAATGAGTAAAACAGTCATCTGTCAATCAAAAGAAGGGAAGGAAGAAAAAATAAGAAAGTTGAGCTAAATAGAAAGTCCAAAATAAGATGGTAGAATGGAGTCCAAATTATAAGTAATTAAAATAAATGAAAGTAAAGTAAATGTTCTAGTCTTTAAAAGGCAAAGATTGTCAGGGAGGATAAAACAAAAATCCATTACATCCCATTTTAAAAGATTCACTAAAACACTCGGATACAGAGATACTGAAAAAGGGGAAAGAAAAATATATACTAGATAAATACATCAGACAAAATTTGCTTTAAAGCAAAAAGCATTATCAGGATAGACTACATTACATAAAGATTAAAAGGTTCAATTTATTAGCAAGATACCATAATAATTCTAAACTTACGTAGACCTAAGAGCAGAAATGAACAGAAATATAAGAAAATAGGCAAATCTATTAATCCAATCATACCAGCATATTTGAACACAACTGTCATAGTGACTGATGTATCAGTTGGAGAAACATCTTTTTTTTTTTTTTTTTTTTTTTTTTTTTGGAGACGGGGTCTTGCTCTGTCACCCAGGCTGTCATGCAGTGGTACAATCATAATTCACTACAGCCTCAACCTCCTGGGCTCAAGGATCCTCTTGAGTAGCTAGGACTACAGGTGCACACCACCATGCTCAGCTAATTTTTTTTTTTTTTTTTTTTTTTGGAGAGACAGGGTTGCTATGTTGCCTAGGTTTGTCTTGAACTCCTGGCCTCAAGCAACCCTCTCATCTTCAGCCTCCCAAAATGCTGAGACTACAGGAGGATGCCACAGATAAAAATATCTATGAGGACAGAAAAGACAAGATTATTAAGCTTCACTTAATGGCCATATACAGAAAGCGTATACTCAAAATTGTAGAATAGATTCCATTGTCAGATACACAGGACATTTATAATACTTGACCATGTGTGAGCCGCCCTTTGACTGCAAACACAGAGATCACCTGGTCCACAATGCAGTGAACTTAGAAACTAAAATACTTAAAATTATGTATATATAAATATAAATGTATATTTTTACATGATTTTTAAAGCTCTGTGTATTTGGAATTGAGAAATACTTCTAAATAACTCATAAGCCAAAAAAGGAGTCACAGTAGAAACAAGACAACATTTATAAGTTAAGGATAATAAAAGTACTATATATCTAAATCTATGCACTGCAACAAGCTGTACTTTGAGGGAAATGTACAACTTTAAACGCTGATCTATATTTTTAAAAAGCTGAATATCAATGAGCAAACATCCAATATAAATTTGAAAAAGAACAGAAACATAAACTGGAAAAAAAAGGAAGAAATAAAAACTTAGATTAATGAAATAGAAAAATAAACATCCCATAGAAAAAAATCAACAATTGAAAAATTCATTAAAATAAACTAATAAAAAATTAAACTACACAAGTACTAGAATAAAACATGAGTAATTTCCTCTTTAATCTGGGTGTAGAAAAAGGCTTTCTAATTGTGAATTAAAAATCTAGATAAAAGATAAATTTGACTATAAAAATAAAAAATCTTTGGCATAGCAAAATGACATGAGAAAATATGACAGAAATACTAAATGGAAGAAAATATTTGCAGCATATTCCACAGGAAAAGAAATAATATCTCTAAGATACCAATAAATAAATAAATGTTTAAATTGAGGGGACAAAAAAGACCAAAAACCCTATAGAAAAATGTACAAAATACATGAAAAGAGACATAAAAAATGTCCTTAAACATATGAAAAGGTGCTCTACTTCACTCACAAGAAGAGAAATGCAAATTAAAACCACGCTGAGCTACGCTGTTCAGGCATCACTTTAGCAAAAAGTCATGAGCTGAAGAACAGACCCCATGGTGTGGCTGTGGTGGTCATGGAGGGCGGTGGCCACCCCTTGAAGGTGATTTGCAACTGTCTAACTGAAGGAGGAGCACTGAGCACTGCCACTGAACCCAGCAATCACCCCGCTAAGGCCTTTCCGGGAGATACAGTCACACACAAACACAAGTGCACAAGGCTATTCACCACTGCACTGGGTGTAACTGCAAAATATCGTAAACTACGTCATCATCCCACCATCATGAAACCCAGACGAGGACGCAGCACTGGGCAGCAGAGGAAGCAAAAGGAAGAATGAGGACGATCACTCCACCCTGGTACAGAGCGACTCCAGGGATGCTGTTTAATAGAAAACACAAAGTACAAAAAGGGAGATGTAGATGGTGGCACGGCACTGTGAATGTAATAAATGCCACTGAATTATACGCTTAAAAACAGCTTAAATAGCAAATGTAATGTTATATATGTTTACAATAAAAATAGTAAAAAGAGAACATATGTAGCAAGATACATTAGTATATTTTAGGTGAGAAAGAAAAAAGAAGAGAAACAGAAAACATACATATGGAAGGCTAATTGTAAAAATGTGTTTGCCTAGAGGTATGCCAGCAAACGTTTAACAAACAGCTCCTGAGGTGGGAGGGAGGACCCGGCCTGTAGTGTTTGCCAGTTTCCTTCCATGTGCAAACCCTCCCACCGTGGGCGACTTCCAACCTACCGCATGATGTCACTAAACACAGAGCTGGGAAGAGATGTGCAGAAGTGGCTCCAGGAGCTGGTGAGAGACCACCTTAGAACATCACTGTCATGTACAAGGGGTGGGGATAACAGGAAGAGAAAGGACATTGTGGGACTTGTCTGTTTTATACACGCACATATATGCATGTATATGTGCATATATATATATACACACACACACACACACACACTTACATGTATGTATGCTTACACAGAGGTGTGTATGTGTACATGCACGTATTTCCCAGCTCTGACCCCTAACAGGGTTAGAAGCAAAGACACTCGACAGCAATAAGCCTACCTTGTACCCAGATATTGTTCCTTGGTAACATTTTCACACTACAAAAACTAGAGCCCTTCAAACATCTGGTGGACTCCAGGGCTGGGTAGGTTAGGTACAAGATGGGTGTGAAACATTATATGGAAAAGTTAGGAAACTGTTTCTTTAAATGAGGCAGAGGGTAGCAGGAAGAGAAAGGAAGGTGGGGAACGAAAGAGGGAAGGAGGTGGGAACGAAAGAGGGAAGGAGCTGGGAATTGGCCTGGTGGGCTCCCACTGATCAAATCTAGGAGAATTTGAGCACAAAATCCTCGAGGACAGTGATGAATTAGACACTAGGACAGCGGTGAATGAAGACACAGGAGTCCAGGAAGAAGGGGGGGGGGGGGGGGTCTGCTCCCAGCAGGTGGCCAAGTCTGCATGGGAGCTGCACAAGCACCACTTACAGCCATCACAGTAAAGACGGGTCAAGGCAGAAACCAACCACGGCTAAGTCCTGGGGAAACGTCACAAGATGCAGGATTTCCGCATGGTCTTCCAGGGGCTTCTTGCAGATGGTTTATTAGTCGTGAGTGGTAACCAAAGTCGGGAGAAGCCAAACAGCTCTGCACTGAGTCGGCAACCTCACATCCCAACGTGGGGGCAGAGCGTTGCTCCGCACCTGGCGAGGTGAGGCCCTGAGGAAGCACAATCCCACGCAGGCAGGCGCCAGCCAAGAGTGCCCGAGTGAATCCTATCACAGGAGTCCCTGGACACGCCCCAAAGGGGGAAACATCTACTTATTAAAAGAGACTGTTCTTCAAAACATCAATGTCATGAAAGTGACAGAAAGGCTGTGGAAAATGTTCCTGATTGACAGAGATGACAGACACACAACAAGCAGATGCAACACCTGATCCCAGACCACATCCTGTGCTGGAGGGAAAATAATATAAAAGACATTACTGGGGGGACTGGAAATACTGGGGTGCAGCATCTAGACGGGTTTTGTAAGCTGACAATGGTGCTGTGGTGATGAGAGGACACCCCCATTCCCAGGAAACAGCACCTCTCCATCCTCTGAATCACCCTCTTGACTCCTCAGGGACCAATGTCTAGCAGCATCCACGTGCTCTCTGTCTCTTAATTTTCAAAGTTTCTCTACTAACTCATTTTCAGGCTTTAAATATAACCAAGTAGCTCATACTAAAGATGCAACCCAAACACCTCCCTTCTAGACCCCAAGTTTTCAGAGTCAAACATTTTCCACAGCCATCTCCACCCCTCCCTCTCCCTGACTCTTCAAGCTGGCTCAATCTGGCTTCCTTTGTACCTTCTCAAAGTGACTCAGGACCTCCTGACCATCCCTGTGCCAAGTCCAATGCCATCTTTCAGCCCTCGTCTTCTGTGTTTTCCTCCCTTCTGAAGCTGGAACAAAGAAAAGACGCAGTGTGACTGAAGGGCGCTCACACAGACACTCTCATGAAATGCTGGTGAACGTGTAAAACATCCGTGACTCTGGATGGTAATTTGACCATGAGTACTTGAGATCTGAACTTCTTACAATCTAATAGCAATAAAGTGAAGGAGAGAAGGTTCTGAAAACGGGCAACTATGGGCTGGATTCTGCTCCAATGCTGGCTCATCTTTAGTCTCTGTTTCTTTACTGATAAAAAGGGTTAATCAAAGACCTTGGAGAATTACAGGAATTAAGTGAGGAACTTTTGCAGGGAACATAATAATGATTATGGAAACCATCTTCTCATAGGTCATATGTTTGTTCCTAGAAAGACACTGGTGGTTCTTGCCCTCTTTGTAAAAGCTGAAGCAACCTTCCCCCAAGGGTCAGGGCAGGAACAGGTCAGGAGACCCAGTCTCACAGATGGAAAAGCAGCACAGAGAGGGAAGGAACCTAGCCGAGGTCACGTGGTGATCTGGGAGAGAAGCAGGAAGCAGAACACAGTCTCTGGATTCTCAGCTAGTCCTGCTCCACCAGCCCAGCTGGGTTCCTACCGGACACTTCTCTTCCCGTGACTTGTGCTCAGACTCTGCCAGCTTAACACAAGGGAACGATGACAACAGCTCACCGCTGTGCTCCTAACACCTGCCCCCAACTGCAACCAGCCCTGCTGGATGTGGCCAGAGGCACAAGCTCAGCAAAGAAGGTACATGTGGATGCAGCCGTGTTCAGAGGAGTCCTATCTTGGGTTTGCTGCAAGGGCAGAGGCTGGGAAACAGGTGGGTAAAGTCAAACCCATTTACTCACTACCAGGGTGAACAAAGCTGCAGGGCTGTCAGCCTGTACCTCAGAAGAGCAAAATGGCCAGAGCACTTGGAGCAAAGCTCACACCCACACCAAAAGCCTCAGCCTAGCTCAGTGCTCCCGGAGTCTATCACTGACTGCCCTTCATCGCCAAAGACAGGGTGGCCTCTGTGACACCATTCACACAGGGCCTATGGCGCAAAGGCATGAACCCTACACAGAATGAAGTAAGCTGTCAAGTGTCCCTGCAGATCCAGAGGAAGACGACAGAGGCCTGGGTGGAGCAGGAGACTGGGATGGACGCAGCTCACCATGCACGCTGACGAGCAAGAGTAGATAGACTGCATCTCCAATGAATGGATGGTGCATTTGTAAAATAAAAGCACACAGAAATGCTGACTCCCACCTGTCTAAATGCGCACACAGAGGAAATTCTTCTCCACCTGACATGCCATCCCCAGTCACCACGGACCAGCAGCAACAGCTCTCCAGATCTATCACTGTCTCTGCACGCAGGGCCGCCAGACAGCCTGGCAGCACGGCACGGAGGAGGGATGAGTCATCACGAAAAATGATCATCCCTCCGTGCCAGGCTGCAATCTGATCTCAACCTCCGGGAGGGCAGCACTCTCCAAATCCCGGTGAGAGGGAAAAAAGCAAAGCAGAGAAGGTCCAGAAGGAACGCTACCTAGCCAAGGAGAAAACTCAGAGGAGGGAGGAAAGAAGGACACCAGTGCCATGAGACCTCCGCTGGGCCCATGGCAGTCTGTCCTCCCTCGAGAGGTGTGCTGCACCATTTCCAAATAAAGAACCTGAGATTCGATGAGGCTGCAGAGCTTCTGCTGGCTGGCGAGGAGCGGGGTAAGGGCAAGACCGCAGCCTCTGTGACTGAGAGCATGTGAAAACGCCCTGCCCCAGCCGGCCAAGACCTCCAGGTCTTCCCTGGCCCTCCTGGTTCTGGGGCCCGCATTTCCACAGTGAAATAGTGCTGCCCATCCCCGCAGGCCCTGGGTCTTGGCTGGGAGGGGCTGGAACCGCCCCACTGTCACTGCAGCAGCACCTATGGATGTTAGGGCTTGTGCTGGCCAGAGTCCAGGAGGCTCAGCAGGCCCAGAGCTCACCCCGCGGCCTGGTGCTCCTCTCAGAACAAGGATGCCCGGTGGGCTTTGCAATTGATATGGCTTGCCTGTGTCTGCACCCAAATCTCATTTTGAATTGTAGCTCCCATAATCCCCACGTGTCGTGGGAGGTACCCAGTGGGAGGTAATTGAATCATGGGGGTGGGTTTTTCTCATGTTCTCATGGTAGTGAATAAATCTCACCAGACTGATGGTTTTATAAAAAGGCAGTTCCCTCGCACATGCTCTCTTGCCTGCCACCATGTAAGATGCACCTTTGATCCTCCTTTGTCTTTGGCCATGATTGTGAGGCCTCCCCAGCCATGTGGAACTGAGTCCCCTAAACCTCTTTTTCTTTATAAATTACCCAGTCTCGGGTATCTCTTCATAACAGTATGAAAATGGACTGACACAGCGATGCTGACAACACCGTGTGCGCTACGTCAATGGACTGACACAGCGATGCTGACAACACCGTGTGCGCTACGTCAATGGACTGACACGGCGATGCTGACACAACACCGTGTGCGCTACGTCAGTGGACTGACACGGCGATGCTGACACAACACCGTGTGCGCTACGTCAGTGGACTGACACGGCGATGCTGACACAACACCGTGTGCGCTACGTCAGTGGACTGACACGGCGATGCTGACACAACACCGTGTGCGCTACGTCAGTGGACTGACACGGCGATGCTGACACAACACCGTGTGCGCTACGTCAGTGGACTGACACGGCGATGCTGACACCACCATGTGGCGCTACGTCAGTGGACTGACACGGCGATGCTGACACCACCGTGTGCGCTACGTCAATGGACTGACACGGCGATGCTGACACCACCGTGTGCGCTACGTCAATGGACTGACACGGCGATGCTGACACCACCGTGTGCGCTACGTCAATGGACTGACACGGCGATGCTGACACCACCGTGTGCGCTACGTCAATGGACTGACACGGCGATGCTGACACCACCGTGTGCGCTACGTCAATGGACTGACACGGCGATGCTGACACCACCGTGTGCGCTACGTCAATGGACTGACACGGCGATGCTGACAACACCGTGTGCGCTACGTCAATGGACTGACACGGCGATGCTGACAACACCGTGTGCGCTACGTCAATGGACTGACACGGCGATGCTGACAACACCGTGTGCGCTACGTCAATGGACTGACACGGCGATGCTGACAACACCGTGTGCGCTACGTCAATGGACTGACACGGTGATGCTGACAACACCGTGTGGCGCTACGTCAATGGACTGACAGCGATGCTGACACAACACCGTGTGCGCTACGTCAGTGGACTGACACAGCGATGCTGACAACACCGTGTGCGCTACGTCAGTGGACTGACACGGCGATGCTGACACAACACCGTGTGTGCTACGTCAATGGACTGACAGCGATGCTGACACAACACCGTGTGCGCTACGTCAATGGACTGACACAGCGATGCTGACACAACACCGTGTGGCGCTACGTCAATGGACTGACACAGCGATGCTGACACAACACCGTGTGGCGCTGTCTGCCTTCACACGATGCCAACACTCTTGCAAGTGCGCCTCACTCTGAAGTGTGGGTGACCCCCAGGTCCTCACTCACTCCTCTCCTGGCCACTATTCAGTGCCTCCTATGTCCTCATCCTCGCCTATGGAGGCAGAAGCTCTTCCCCTGTCCCTTCCTCCCTTTCTCCGTGAAGACAGAGCTTTGGCTGAGCCCAAGGCTGCCCAGCGGGAGAATGCATTGCCCAGCTCCTCTGCAGAGAGGGTCACCTGGCACATGTTAGACACACCTGGTCTCAGATACCATGATACACGTCAGCATAACTTGGGCCTCCAGTTCTTAAAATGAAGTTGTCCCCTGTTGCATCCACAGGCTAGAACACACGAGGTGCATCTGGGTTCCTTCCAACTCTGCAGTCATGACAACATAGCAAGAGACAGAAACCACACATCGAGAATGGCAGGCCACCCAGAGTCCAGGCCGGGGAGGGCCTCACAGAGCCCAGCCCTCCCATCCAGGAACGCTGATGTCAACGAGAGCATCTGACCTTATTAAATAAAGCTGGTGGGTCTGGGAAGCTCTGTATTTCCACAGCTTACCCTTTCCCCTGGGTTCAACTCTTCCTCTTGGCACGTGGCTCTCTGTATGCCCCACACCGTCCCCTCAGCTGTGAGCCAGGATTCCAAAAGCCTCCATGGCATGTCTCCTATGGGTCTCACACAGAAGTCTGTCTGCTCCCCACAAACTCCAGAATGTTTTTCTTCCAGAGCGATCACTCCATCTCCCAGGACCACAGGCAGCATACAACCCCATGGGGTCCCTCTGGGCACCTTCTCCACTGCTCACACTGTACCCTGCTGCTCCGTGACAGCCTGTGACATGCCTACAGTGGGTGCCACTCTTCCATCCCCAAGCCCCACAGCCATCTCCTACAAAACACCCACAGTCACAAAGGGCCCAGTCCCTCTCTGACCCACACAGGGCAAACATGATACTTAAAAAGTAGAAACTTAACAACAAAAGAATAGTCCTCCTAGACAGGACTACCAAGAAATTAATCTTTTAAATTAAATAATAAAAACATGAGGGACAACAGGTCAGTACATATAAAGCCAGTAGAACAGAGTTAAAAGTGTCTTAGAAGACTGAGAGTCAAATGCATTAGTCAGAAAATAAATGAAAATGTTCAAAGAAGCACTCAGGAAACTATTAAAATAATAGCATTAACTTGAAGAAAAAGAGAATTATAATTATAATGTATGCTAAAATGAGAAATTAATAGTAAAATTATAAATGATCAATATAAATGAAAGCTATTTTGGAGAAAAAATTAGACAAATGTGACTAAAATGCTGAAGTAAGTACTAGAAATAAAGGGAACACAGTAACAGATAAAATGACTGAAAAACTAGGCCCGGCATGGTGGCCTACACCTGTAATCCTAGCACTTTGAGAGGACGTGGCAGGAAGATCACTTGAGGCCAAGGAGTTTGAGACTAGCCTGAGCATCTAAGCAAGACCCCAGTGCCTAAAAAAATTTTAAAAATTAGCTGGATGCGTTGGCACATGCCTGTAGTCCCAGCTACGTGGGAGACTGAGGTGGAAGGATCGCTTGAGCCCAGGAGTTCAAGGCTGCGGTGAGCTGGGATCAACATCCAACAGAGTGTGGCTCTGTCTCTAAAAAAATAATAAAAAGAAAAATTAAATTAAGTTAAAAATTTTTAAAGACTGAAAAATGACGAGCACAACATATATATGTTATATACATACATATGTATATATATATATAAAACATATACACATTTTTACCTATATACCTAAAAACTTGCTTAAAACTGACTGTTTCCTAAGCAAAAAACCATTGGTGTATAAGAAAATGTGTATAAAATCAATAACCATGGTAGAAATTATATAGACACTAAAAAATCAGTCTCCAAAATAGGCTCCAGGCTTAGCAGCTTTGATAGACGAATTCTATTAAAGGTAGAATTCTATCGAAGGCTGATAACATTTGCATTTCTAAACAGAAGACAGAAAAATTTGTTATTTAAAGGATAGAAAAACATGGGACAATTCTCAAATCATGTTATGAAAGCAAGCTATCATTTATTGCCAAAATCATATAAAAATTAGAAAAAAAAGAACCTTATAGAGCACTATCACCCTAGCCATAACCCTCACGATAACCCTAACAGTAACCCTAATCCTAACCTTTACAATAACTCGAACACTAACGGTAACTCCAACCCTTATGCTAGCCTTAACTCTAGCCCTAACCCTATTATTAACCCTTATTCTAGTCCCAATAAGATACTGGGAGCATATTATAATTGGAAGAGCTATGGCCTAACGGGGTTTATTCCAAGAATCAACACTTGGAATGTCAGGAACAGAATTCACTCCATTGAGAGACAAAAGCAGGAATCATACAACCACCTAAATAGTAGCAATGAACACATTTAGTGAAATGCAACTTTTTTGATTTTAAAAAACACGTAACTTAATAAATAGCAATAAAAGAAAACTTCTGTAGCTTAATGAAGAATATATACCAGAGAGCTACAGGGAGCATACTTCATGGTGAATGTTGGGTCAAGGTAAAAATAAGTCAAATTTCACCTGAAAACCCTTTTGCAAATAAAACCATTTTAACATGTGACCACATTCAAATATATAAAAACTGATAGTTTTCCTATATAATGTTAAATATTTGATAAATGCAATGGGAAAAATCCCAATTACAATAACCAAATAACACAAATTAGTTGGAAAAAAATTTGAAAGATAAAACCTACAGCAAGAAAGCTATGAAATGTAACTGAAGGCTAATAACAGAATAAATGGAAAGACAGATTCCCTTTCTATATAGGAAACTATTTAAATATTGTTAAAATGTCAGCTGTTTATAATTTAAATTATAGATCTGATCCATTTGAAAAGAAACCTCAATATGATTAACTTTTTAAACTTGAAAATCATTCTAAAGTTCATTTAGAAAGTAGGTAGCCAAGAATAACCAAAATATTTTTTGAAATATTGGTTACCTTTATCAGATATGGAAATATATCGTGAAACTAAAATAATTAAAACAGTGTACCAGCACTAGAACAAAGAGGTCAATTAGAGAATTCAGAAACAGACACTAAAATACACAATATTTTCATATGTGGTACACATACATAAAAAGTTGCAGCATGAATCATTAGAAAAATGAAGTATTTTGAATAAATGGTGTTTCTAATATAAGAAAAAATAACTTAGATCTTCACCTAAGAACATACACCTAATTAAATCCCAAGAAAAGGATTTTCTAAATGTAAACACAATAAGAGACGACATCACAACGGAAAATACTGAGCGAGCTACCCAAAATGCTACAGATCAGATGAAAAAGTGCACGACTCAACTGGGGAAAATTCCTCCCACAGACATAAAAGCAGAGTATCTTCAATAATGCAAGAATGCTTATGAGCATGGGGGAAAACGACATTATTGTTAAAGAGCTAAGCCATGTGTGTTCAGTGTGCTTCTGCATTTCGAGATGGAGACGTATGCAGTACCTGGTGTGTCAGGATACAACAGCACAGGCACTCTGGTACAGCCTTGTTCAAGTACAAACTTGCACTTTTGAGATCAACCTGGCAATTACACATTATGCCTCTTTTAAATGTCCATGTCCTCTGACCCAGGAATTCTGTAGGTGTGAACACTGCCTACAAAAGAGAGGAAGCTGCTGTGGATTTATGCACAAGGGTGTTTACCTCGTATTATGGATATTAGTGGAAAATCAGAAAAAATAAACAAAAAGGGAATAATCCAATAAATGATACCTAGATCCACAACATGGGAAACCATGCAACCTTCTAAAAATAATGTTCTCAAACTAGGTAAGGTCGAACACTTTGCAGAATACTATTCAGTTAAAAAGCAGGGCACGAAAGTGTGTACTGAATGCCTGAGGCAGACAGTCTGGACTGGAATTTCCCCACCGCCCCCAGGGCACTGGGCAAGAGGCGCTCACCAGGCCTAACGCTGCAGAGCTCAAGCAACCTGAGGAGAAAGATCTGCCTCAGATTCACCAAGCCAGAGGCCGGGCCTCTGAAGTGGAGAGGACCAGAGGGCAAGGGCAGTGGAAGTCTGCCCTGGCAGGAGCAGGGCAAGCAAGGGAGCTCAGGGCCTGAGGTTCATCAATTTTTTATAAAATAATATTTGCCATATAACCTTTAAAATTTTTTATTTTTAATAAAACTATAAATATACACAGTTTTTAAAAGCAAATAATTCGATAAAGCTTATGAAAAGCAGTGGCCCTACCCCTCCCTTGCCCCCTACATCACAATCCTTCCCTGAGCTCTTAGCCTCTTTTGGCATTTCTTTATCTCCATATTTCTAATTACTGAGTTTGTATTGCTATTCTTGATCTTACAACTTTATGTATCAGCTGTTAGCTTCCTGCTATAAAAGATGAGCACTGACTCTCCTGAGCCCCTACCTCGCCCTCCTCCCCACTTTCCAGGACTCCCCTCGCTGGCTGTGCACCTGGTACCCACACCTGATGCTGCAGCTCCCTTCTTGCACAATGTTTCTGCTTCTCACAGTGAATAAGGGCCTCCCCACTGCTTTCTTTGGTGTTCTATGAACTTAGGTTGATTTCTTTCCAAACTCCTAGCCATGGGGCCGACCACTGCAGACCCACTCATCCCGACATCACCCTCCAGCCCTTCTTGGAGCCACGCCCCAGGGCCCCAGCGTCCAGCTTCCTCACCCACCAAGTGGCTCCTTTCCCTCCCTCCTGTGTCTGTTCCTAGGTTCCCAGTGCTCTGGGGCCAAATAAGGAGGAGCTGGAGTGAAGCCATCCCGTGCCCTGCTTTCCGTTTAGGACAGTCCCCCACCGCAGGGCAGGCTCCCAAGTCACCTTCCAGGGAGGAACCAGACTGGGTAGGAGAGGGCTGAGAGGCTGACTCCTTCTCAGACAAGCTTTCCACAGCTTTCCTATGTCAACCGTATCTCTACTGCCTCCCCATGTTCAGCTGCACAGTAACGCCATTCCCAAGACGTGGGGGCACTGTCTGCAACACAAGAAACTCACTTCTCAGTCCCCTCAACACACACACATATAACAGATGCACACATACCACACACACATGCACACACCTTCCACACACACACGCATGCGTGCACACCTATATACACACTCACCTGCACACACATACACACACGCATGTGTACACACAGACCTGTGTGGGTAAATACACATGCACACACACTTCACACACACACACACACTACACACACCACACACACACTCACATGCACACACACACGCACCTCTCAGCTTTCTAGGTTCAGATCTGCTCTGACCATTTGCCTTCCAACTTTCAAAGTTCTGTCATCTTCTTTCTCAATTTCTTGGTGACTTTTGCCCTTTAAAAACATCTTGCCTGTCATTTTAGTGGGCTTTTAAGAGGAAGCAGAGGTCACTGTGAAATCAATTTGCCAATCTGGCTGAAAATCAAGGATCAAGGGAATAATTTTTTTTAATTTTAACATGGGAGCTACTAAGTCATCCCGGATGCTAACAGAAGTGACCTGCCAGTGAGGCGGGCACGCAGAGAGATGGCACCACAGACCACACAGCGGGGCAAGTCCCTGAGGAAACAAGAGGGTGGGCTTGTCCTGAGCTAACAGCGAGGGCTCCTTGCACTTGAGGGGCAGGAAAGGCCAAGGGAGGAAACGCGACTTAGCCCCTTGGGTCGGAGGATGGGGCAGAGAAGCAACTCTCTTCTCCTTAACTCTGAGGCATAGACGCCAGCTGAGACTCACATCTGATTAGATCAGAGATCTGAGGAAGGGGAAGCAGACAGAACAGAATGGACTCAGGCAAAAGCAATTCTTCAAGGGGGTGCTGCTGGGACTAGGCAAGTGAGGGTGGATCCAAGCCCTTGGCTGTGAAATTAGACGAGACTAGTCTGCACAGCTATGTGGTCTCCATCAATGCTGTGATCTTGTTCTACCACATGGACACTGGGAGGACACAGAGGCAAAGCGAAGAGAGTGTGTGTGACAGTGACTACAATGCAGCACCAGGTGCTGTGGGCTGATGAAGATGGGGAGGCCACCCAGAGGGCCATGGGCAGGAAGGGGTGGGCTGATGAAGATGGGGGGTCCACCCAGAGCACAATGGACAGGAAGGGTGGGCTGATGAAGATGGGGGGGCCACCCAGAGGACAATGGATAGGAAGGGGTGGGCTGATGAAGATGGGAGGGGCCACCCAGAGGACAATGGACAGGAAGGGGTGGGCTGATGAAGATGGGGGGGGGCACCCAGAGGACAATGGACAGGAAGGATGGGCTGATGAAGAAGGGAGGGGCCACCCAGAAGACCATGGACGGGAAGGGGTGGGCTGAAGATCGGGGGGCCACCCAGGAGGCCATGGACAAACAGGAAGTGGTGGGCTGATGAAGATGGGGGGGCCATCCAGGGGGCCATGGACAAACAGGAAGTGGTGGGCTGATGAAGATGGGGGGGCTACCCAGAGGACCGTGGACAGGAAGGGGTGGGCTGTTGAAGATGGGAGGGGCCACCCAGAGGACAATGCACAGGAAGGGGTGGGCTGATGAAGATGGGGGGGCCATCCAGGGGGCCATGGACAGGAAGGGGTGGGCTGATGAAGATGGGGGGTGCCACCCAGAGGACAATGGGCAGGAAGGGGTGGGCTGATGAAGATGGGGGAGGGCCACCCAGAGGACAATGGACAGGAAGGGGTGGGCTGATGAAGATGGGGGGGCCACCCAGAGGACCGCGGACAGGAAGGGGTGGGCTGATGAAGATGGGGGGCTACCCAGAGGACCGTGGACAGGAAGGGGTGGGCTGATGAAGATGGTGGGGCCACCCAGAGGACCGTGGACAGGAAGGGGTGGGCTGAAGATGGGGGGGCTACCCAGAGGACCGTGGACAGGAAGGGGTGGGCTGATGAAGATGGGGGGGCCACCCAGAGGATCGTGGACAGGAAGGGGTGGGCTGATGAAGATAGGGGGGCTACCCAGAGGACCGTGGACAGGAAGGGGTGGGCTGATGAAGATGGGGGAGCCACCCAGAGGACCATGGACAAGAAGGGGTGGGCTGATGAAGATGGGAGGGGCCACGCAGAAGACAATGGACAGGAAGGGGTGGGCTGATGAAGATGGGGGGGCTACCCAGGGGGCCATGGACAGGAAGGGGTGAGGACAATCCCCTGATACCCTTCAGCTGCTCTCTGCACTAAGGCTAAGCATAGGTGAATTTTTAAATTGTTTTTCATATTTTTCAGTTCTATAAGGAAAATTGTTATCTTACGGAAAGCAAAAAACTCTAGGCCAGGCGCAGTGGCTCACGACTGGAATCCCAGCACTTTGGGAGGCCGAGGCGTGTGGATCACGAGGTCAGGAGATCGAGACCATCCTGGCGAACACGGTGAAACCCCGTCTCTACTAAGAATACAAAAAATTAGCTGGGCGTGGTGGCGGGCGTCTGTAGTCCCAGCTACTCAGGAGGCTGAGGTAGGAGAATGGCGTGAACCCGGGAGGCGGAGCTTGAAGTGAGCCAAGATGGCACCACTGCACTCCAGCCTGGGCGACAGAGCTAGACTGTCTCAAAAAAAAAAAAAAAAACTCTAAGAAGCAAATAACCAATTCAGTATTACAAGAAATAAAAGACCTCAAAGTAAATAAAAATCTTCAATGAAGTATTCATTACTACTTCTTATTTCCTGATCTTGCTGTAGCTGAAAAACAGCCCCTACATGGGGCTAGGAGTGGGCTCTGGCACTAACCAGCTATGGGAGATGGGTCCTTACCTGCAAAATGAAGTGGACCTGAGAGGTCTGCACGGACCACACACAGCCCAGGGAAGGCACCTGTGCTTCTCCATGGAGGCCTACATTCATCGCTCTCTCTCAGGAAGGGGGAAGAGTCCTCCAAGACATGGGAATGGAAAAACCAAGTGCTTCCAAAACTACTGGCTCCCCTGGGAAACATCCACTCAGATGAGCTCCGCTCTGCTTCATCATGGCACCCCAGAATCTCACAGCGAGAAGCTGCAGGACTCACTCGACACAGCCCACGAGAGGAGAGCCCTTCTGTTCCAACCAGCTCAGTGCTCATGGCACCTCCATTCCCACCAGCAGAAGAGGCCACAGGTACCTATAAAAGTTCCCTGTCTGTACTGAACGAAGGCCTCAGGGAATTTCCAGAATCTGCCTGCTGCAGCCTCCAGAACCCACATGCTGGCAGGCGATGGGTCCACCTGCACTGCTTGCTCTGCCTCTCAGCCTGGCTGCCGGGGCATGGCTTGCATGGTCGGGCTCGCCCCACCCCAGCACGCTGGTTTATTTCCAGAACTGTAGGCTGGGTCTGAAGAGCCTACAGTTAGGCTCAGAAGAATTTGGACAACACCAAAGTCGAAGAGAAAATGGGAACAGCACATAACAGGTGTTGTTTATCTGTCTGAGTCCCAGAGGCTCTTCCCTTGAGAGTTTGGTGAAAATTAGATCCAGATTTGTAAGATTACAAAGTTGGCCCCAAGGCAACAGGGATTTGGATTCCTCTAAGAAACAGGTATTACAGCAGCTTTAGCTAAAGCCACAACAATAACCTAGCACAGAGAAGAGACTGGCTGGCTCCCTGCTCCCACACCCACCCTGCTGTGGGCTCCTCTCAGCCCCGACGCCACGTGGACTGAGAGCAGCCTCGGGATGACCTGTGAGACCCCTGATGTGCCCCAGCTGCACCCTCACCTCCTAACCCGCGGCACTCTCACCTCCTGCCCCGCAGCCTCCTCACTGCCCCATGGATGCACCAGGCATGTCAGACCCGAGCTTCTGCTCCAAACCCCCTTGGCCCTGCAGCTCCTCACCTCCTGCACCAAGGGGCTCACACGTGCACCTCCAGCAAGACTCGCGCAGATGCCCCGTGTCTCAGGGCTGACCTGACGGCCTATTCACACAGCACCAGGACTCCCACACCCTGCCCTTCCCTGTTTCCTCCACAGCCACTGTCACCCCCTGACATGCCACAGGATGAACTCACTGACTAGATTTATGTTTTCGATCCCCCCACAAGGATGTCAGGATTCTGGCAGTGCGCCTGGGACATCACAGGCACACTGTAAACATGTGCTGAACGAATGAAGGAACAAACAAAGTCTTTGTTCAAGTAATTTGTTAGTAAGAACTCTCCTCTTATGATATTAGTCAGGATTCCAGTCACCTGCAAGCCTAAGCACCTAGGAGCACAGGCCCCAACCCCTCCATGCCATCTCTCCGAGAGCCTCCCCCTGCCAACTCCCCATGCCATCTCTCCGAGGGCCTCCCCCTGCCAACTCCCCATGCCGTCTCTCTAACCAGGGCGCTGCCCTGCTGCAGCTGACATCTCTGGAAGTTAGTAGGCGGGGCCCGCAGCACTGTCTCCTCAGGATGCACTGTGCTCAGGACCTCACAGCAGCCCAGGGCTGCCATCAAGCACACCAGGAAGGCAAGACACACTGGGAGCTCCGACCCACGTCCCATCAACAAGGCAGCTCTTCTTACTCTGCTATTGTGAAGTTGGAAGACTTGGCTCAAATCCCAGCCCCACCACTGGCACCAAGATAACCTGAGTGAGTTACTTCACCTCGCCAAGCCTCAGGGAATAACAATCCCTATCTCAAAGGGGCACTGGGAGGAAGAAGGGAGTGATTCTATGGAAGTTATGAAATCAGGCTGGCTGGTACTACTTCATCAGCATCAGCAGCCATCATGACTCCATTAGTTTTCCATGCAGAACTGCAAATATACACCAAGTTCCTGCTGAAAACGTTTTGAAAATGACCTTTAATAAGCTTTAGAAAAAGAAAGACATCTTAAGGATAATTTTAAAAGGAGTCATCTCAAGGTAGTTTTACAAAACTAGAATTGGGACCACAGTGCATTGTGTGAGACAGGTGAGTGCCTCTGTGTGCTGGCCGGTGCCAGGTCCTTTCCACAGATGTCACCCATGCACTGTGTGGCTTCAGACATTGTGGTGCCATCATGGCCACCGCACACACAGGCACTACCGGGCAGTGGGCACTGTTGGCACAAGAACAAAGGCGTGCGGTAGGCTTGTGCGGTAGGCTCGTGCAGTAGGCTCCAAGTGCACTAACAACTGGCCCTCCAGCTCCTGCTGGTCTACATGGTCAGGTTAACTGTGGAGAAAGGTTACCAGAGAGGGAGGAAACTGCCTCTTTTAAAATTTTGGTTCCACAGAAGCAAGAAGGGAAAACGCGTGTCACTCACACTACATGCTCTTGGCAGTAGTGTGACCTGAGGCAGGTTCCCCATGAGACATAAAACCAGGATCCAGAGGGTCAGCAGAGACACACAGCTTCCCTTGAGAGCAAGACTTTCAACTCTGCTGACACCGAAAGAGTCGTTTAGTCTAAAAATATCGCCTGTGACAGCATCATAAGAAGCACTACTTACACGGAACCACGTGGGGAGCTTCTCTCTTGTAGACAGTCCTGTAAACAGTTGAAGGAAAAAACAATTAAAATTGGAAATCATAGGCTTTCCAAAGAGAGACAGAAATCACAATCTATCACCTTAGATACCAAATTTTATCAAACCAAAGTCATCTATTAAAAAGACATGTTTATAAATCAGTTATTGGGAAGGTCAAAGACAGTTTCCCAGAGAAAGAATTCCATAAAAAGTGATTCAATTCTAAACTGAGTCTGGAACATACACGACACTGATAAAGACTCAGAACCCCAGGGTCCCTGAACCTTGACCCACAGTCCTCGGCCTGACTGACGTCTGGGGCACAGCTGATTCTCAAATCCCTCTGAATCTATAGGGGAAGGTAAGAACACAGGGAGAGTATACGGGACGGGACAGCCCAGAACACCCACAGTCTCGGCTCCACCCTGAAGGGCCTTCACCTGGACCACAGGCCAAGGGTTCTCCCTGTGCAGACTGAATTAGCAGGTGAACACCGCGCAGAGACTCCTACAGACAGACAGCCGGCCTCTGTCCAGTGATGTCCAAAGACTACAGAAACATAAGAAAGCCTGGACCATGGTCAGCTGTGACAGAGAAAGAGTGAGACTGGGATGACTCTCCCACCTCACTTAAAAGTCAGACAAAAGATATGAGACGAGGGTGTTCAGACATGGAGCAGCAGGCAGCACAGGACAACGATCCCCAGAGAAGGGAAGCAAATGGGTTGCATCCTACAATTGCTGCAGCCTACAGCCTGGGGAGAGTGCCTGGGCCACAGCACAGGAAGGGGGAACCCAGGCAAGGCCAGGGGAGTTGGAAACGGAGTTGAGAATTCAGGGAGGCAAAGGCAGAGAGGAAAGGGGAGAGATGCAACTGACATCTCTGGAAGTCGGTGGGCTGGGCCTGCAGCACCGTCTCATCAGGATGCACTGCACTCAGGACCCCACAGCACAGGAGGCAAAAGCTAGAATTAGAGGGCAGAGTACCAGAAAGGAATGCCCTGCACAGAGAAACATCCCAGAGGTCTGTGGTGGATTCTCTAGTCTCTGCCTGGACATGGATGGGCACATGTGAGTGAGTGGACTACAGGAGGTCGGGGGAAGAACCAATGAAAAGAAAAAGTACAGACAATAGCTATGGCTCACACAGATCTGGGAAGAGTTCCTACTCCCAACAACTAGGCTGCAGGAGCCTTGCAGTACAGGGGACACCACACTGAGCACTCAAATGACTGCACTGGCAGCAGACTAAGCTGGGGTACTACACTAGGCAATGCTTAACAAAGTCAGCAACAAGCTGCCAAAAAATCTGAACTTTCCAAGTAACTTAAATGCATTCCAAAACATAGTTCAAAATATTTTAAAAGAATGCAGAGTCCAACAATACAAAGTTTACGATGTCTTTCATCCGTCCAAAACTGACGAGGCATGCAAAGAAGCACAAAAATATATCTCATAATGAGATTGGTTGATCAGTAAGATACAAACTCAGAAATTATACACACAGAGATCATTAGTACACAAAGACATTAAAACAGCTATTATACACTTTAGGAGGCAGAGGCAGGCAGATCACTCGAGGTCAGGAGTTCAAGACCAGCCTGAGCAACATGATGAAATCCCATCTCTATTAAAAATACAAAAATTAACCAGGCGTGGTGGTGGGCACCTGTAATCCCAACTACTTGGGAGGCTGAAGCAGGAGAATTGCTTAAACCCAGGAAGTAGAGGCTTCAGTGAGCCAAGATCGCACCACTGCACTGCAGCCTGGGTGACAGAGCTAGACTCCATTTGAATAAATAAATACATAAATAAATAAATAGGCCAGGCACGGTGGCTCATGCCTGTAATCCCAGCACTTTGGGAGGCCGAGGCGGGCAGATCATGAGGTCAGGAGATCGAGACCATCCTGGCTAACACAGTGAAACCCCGTCTGTACCAAAAATACACACAAAAAAATTAGCCAGGCATGATGGCGGGCGCCTGTAGTCCCAGCTACTTGGGAGGCTGAGGCAGGAGAATGGCGTGAACCCAGGAGGTGGAGCTTGCAGTGAGCCGAGATGGCACCACTGCACTCCAGCCTGGGCGACAGAGCGAATCCATCTCAAAAAATAAATACATAAATAAATAAAACATCTATCATAAATACATTGTATATGTAGAAGATGATACAGGAAAGCATAAAATGCTAAGGAGAGACAAGAAAAGTATTTTTAAAACACACAAATCAAGCATGCAGAGATGAAAAATACATCTGAGATTTAAAAAAATATACTGACTGGGATTAACACCATATTAGACCACAAAAGAAAAGATCAGTCAATGTACAGACAGAATAATCTGTGCAGACAGAAACTACCTAAAATAAAACACAGATAAAGATTCTCTACTCCCAAAAGACAAAAATATATGTGTAATTGGAGACCCAGAAGCAGGGGATGGGACAAGCCAAAAACATATTTTAAAAAATAATGACAAAAGGCAGGGCAGAGTGGCTCAAGCCTGTAATCCCAGCACTCTGAGAGCCCAGGAGTTTGAGACCAGCCTGGACAACACAGTGAGACTCCATCTATACAAAAACATTTTTAAAATCAGCCAGGCATGGTGGCACACACCTGTAGTCCAGCTACTCAGGAGGCTGAGGTTGGAGGATTACCTGAGCCCAGGAATTCAAGTCTACTCTGAACTGTGATTGCATCACTGCACTCCAGCCTGGGTGACAGAACGAGGCCTTGTCTCTAAAACAGACAAAAAAAATTACAAAAAGTTTTCAAAAATGGATGAAAATTTAAGCCCATACATAGATTCAGAAAGGTCAACAATCCCCAACCACAAATAAATAAATAAATAAATAACATTAAACTAAACCAAGGCACGTCATAATCAAATTATGTAAAAAAAAAAAAAATCGTAAAGGCAGCCAGTAAAAAAGAAACATTATGGCAAGAGCAGCTAAAATCTACTCATTTGCTGCTCTTGCCACAGAAAAACAAAACAAATCAAAACTGGGTACCTATGTGAGATGATGGGTATGTTAATTTGCTTCACTACAGGAACCTTTTTATTATCTGTATTTTATAACATTATATTGTGTACCTTAGATATACACAATATAATTAATTTTTTAAAATAGGAAACTATGTACAAAGAGACAAGCACAGACAGGGTGAACAGAGAACTTTTCAGAAACAGTGCAAGTCAGGAGCCAATTGAATTCTATCTCTAAAGTAATGAAAGAAAAGGCTACCAACCTGGAATACTATACATAGTAAAAATAACTTTCAAATATAAAAGTAAAAAGAAGATTTTTTCTAACAAACAAAAGCTAAAATAATTCATTATCCAACATACCTGAACTGCAAATAATATTAAAAGAAGTACAAAACACAAAAGGAAAATAATACCAGAAGGAAATCTGGATCTACAAAAAGAAGTGAAAACCATTGAAACAGAAAATATGTAAAATATAAAAGCCTTTTGTTCTTAATTTTTTAAGATTGCTTTCAAAGATAATAGACTATGTAAAGCAAAAGAAAAAAAAAAGGCAATGCATTGTGGGGCTTATGACAATATCGAAGTGAGGAGATAAGGGCATAATGTAATAGCCAGAAGTGAGAGGGTATACTTTGGTAATGTTCTTACATTATATGTGAACTGGTATGATATTACTTGCAGATGACTATGGTAGCTTAAGGAAATATACAACAAATCCTAAAGCAACCTCTGAAAACACAGAGATAAAGCTAATAAGCTGCAACCCAATGTCCTCAGGTTTTCAGGCATATACTGTAAAAAGTATCCACTTTAACTGTTGCATCTTGAGTTGTTGTTTAAGAAAAGTTCCAGGAAGAAGCCCAGTGCTGGTGAAACAAAAGCCAGTTAGATCCAGAGAGGCCTCAGTTGGAGATGAACTTTGGCAAACTCTCCTCATTACCACACTAAAAACTCCGCCCAGAGAAGAGCTTATTTGCCATCTTGTATACCTGTGATGTATGTAGAAGCATGACTGACAACTGTGCCTGTGCTGCCTTGACTGTACCTTCTACACACAATGATTCAGCTAACGAGCCTAAAAACGGTGTTTTCAGCGTTGTTCAGGGAGGCGTTGCTTTGGAGATTTATCCCTGGTGTCCTCCTTACTTGCTGCAATTTTAGATTCCCTTGTTAAATCCTCCTTGGTTGAGCTCATTGTACTATTGGTGGCCAAGCAATTGAACCCACCCATTGTGTGGGCAACAAAGCTAGTAAAGGTAATAAAACTGATCATAGAAAGTACTCAATCCAAAATAAAGGAGAATGAGAGAAAAAAGGGGACTCTAATAACAAGTGGGAAAAATAGAAATCCAACAGCAAAATGACAGATTTATACCCAACCATATCAATAATCACATTAAATATGAATGGTCTCAACATCCCAATTAAAATGTACCTTTTAAGACTTGATAAAAAAACAAGACCACGCTATAAGCTATTTGTAAGAAACCCACTTTAAATATAAACATACACAGAGGTTAAAAGAAAAAGGATGGGAAAAAATGTGACATGTTAACTCTAATAAAAAAAAGGTGGAGTGACTATCTTAATATCAGAAAAAGTAGATTTCAGGGTACATAATATTACCACAAGTAAATAAGGACATTATATAATAATTAAGGGGTCAGTTTATCAAGAGAAAATAATAACCCTAAACGTTCACACACCTAATAAAGAGCTTAAAAATATATAAAGCAACCCCCCACCAAATAGATAAATCCACAATTATAATGGAAGCTTTCTACACTTCTCTTTCAATAACTGATTTTGTAAAAACCTACACAGAAGATCAGTACGGGATATAGGAGACTCAAATAACATTATCATCCAACATTATTTAACTGACATTTATAGAACACTCCACACAATTATAACAGAATATGCCTTCTTTTCAAGTGGTCATGAGATATTTTCAAAGGTAATATTCTGAAAATTTTTTTTAAATTTCAATAAAACTGTAAAGGAATAAAAAAAATGTTTCCTGACCACAATGGAATTAAATTAGAAATCAATTAAATTAGAAAACAGGAACAAAAAAGTATTTGGGAAGTTTTCCAAATACTTGGAAAATAAACAGCACATGTCTAAATAACATATGGGTCAAAGAAAAAACACAATGGAAATAAGAAAGCATTTTGACCTGAATAAAAATGAAAACACTACATATCAAAATATGTGGGAGGCAGTAAAAGCAGTACCAAGAGGGAAATCAACAGCACTAAATGATTATATTAGGGAAATAAAAGGTCTCAAATCCATTACCTAAGCTTACTAAAACAGAGCAAAACAAGCAGAAGAAAGGAAATAAAGAATAAAAATCTATAAGCTGAAAAGCCATTTTAAAAATACTTGCTTCAGGAGACTAAAGTGGGAAGATCACTTGAAGCCAGGAGTTTGAGACCAGCCTGGGCAACATAGCAAGACCTACTCTCTACAAAAAAATTTTTTTACATTAACCAGGCATGGTAGATGGTGGAACATCCCTGTAATCCTAGCTACTTGAGAGGCAGAGGCAGGAAGATCACGTGAGCCAAGAAGTTCAAGGTTACAGAGCAAGCCTCTGTCTCTAAAAATATATAAATAGAAGTAAAAAATACAGAAAATTAATAAAACCGAAAGTTGGTTCTTTAATAAGGCACATAATATTGATAAATATCTAGTTGCACTGACCAAGAAAAAAGGTAGAAGGCCCAAATTACCAATATCAAGAATGAGAAATAGAACATTATACAGACACAAAAGATATTATGAAGACAATTAGGTCAAACCACAATGTGATACCACTTCACACCAGAATGGCTATAATCAAAAAAGTCTAACAGAAGTGTTGGTGAGGACCTGGAGAAACAGGCAACCTCATACATCGCTGGTGGAAATGAAAAATGGTGCTGCTAGGGTGGAAAACAGTCTGGCAGTTCCTCAAAAAGTTAAACATAGAATCACCATAGGACAGCAACTCCCCTCCTAGGTACAGACCCAAAAGAATTAAAAATACACATGTAAGCAGATACTTGTTCATAACAGTGCTATTCATAATAGCCAACACGGGGAAACAACCCAAATGTCCATCAGCAAATGAATGGATAAACACATCTGGTACAGGCATCAGTGGAGTATTCTGCAGACATCAAAAGGAATGAAGTACAGCACGTGTTACAGATGAACCTCCAAGCGGGGCTAAGTGAAAGAACCCAGACGTAAAAGGTTATATATTGCATTATTTCTTCAGATGAAATATCTAGAACAGGCAAGTCCATAGAGACAAAAAGCAGGTTAGTGGTTTCCAGGGCATAAGGACAGGGGGAGACCAGGAGTGATTACTTAATGGGTGGGAGGTATTCCTTCGTGGTAACAAAAAAGTTTTGAAAAAGTCTTGAAACTGGGTACTGGTTGTACAACATTCTGAATGCACCAAATTGTACACTTTAATTTGGTGTACTTTAATTGCATTTTAAGTGCACTTTAATTGCATTTTAAGTGAATTTCACCTCAATAAATAAATAAATACAATAAGCGGATGCTATGAACTACTGCATGTCAGTAAATCTGCTAACTTAGATGGAGCAAGTTCTTACAAGAATCAAATAATCAAAACTCACTTAAGGAGAATTAAATAATCCTATATACATACCAAAGAAACTGCATTCAAGATAAAACCTTCCCACAAAGAAAAGTGCTGACCGAGATGACTTTGCAGGTGAATTCTATAAAATAAAATATACAAGGAAGAAATAATATCAATTTCTTACTAACTCATCTAGAAAACTGAAGATGAGAGAATACTTCCCAATTCATTCTATAAGGCAAGCATTAACATGATAAAAAATCAGAAAAATACACATAAGAAAAGACATCAATATTCCTCAGAAATATAGATGCCAAAATTCTTAAATTTTAGCATATAAAAATCCAACAATATAAAATAAATACATGCAGATAAAGTGGGTTTTAACCCAGAAATGCAACTGGCTTACTATTGTTTTTTAAAGCTATCAATGTAATTCACCATATAAACAAAAAAGAAACACCATATGATCATCTCAATAGATACAGAGAAAACATTTGACAAAATTCAGTATTAACTCATGATAAAAATCCTCAGCAACCTGGGAATTTAAGGACTCTTTCTGAACCTGATAAAGGACCTCCAGTTGAAACATACAGCTAGCAGTATACACAAGGGTGAAAACTGAATGTTTACCCCTAAATTCAGGAACAAAGTTAGACCGTACCCTCCAAGCACTTCCTTTAACAAGATACCAACCTCCACAAGTGATCTATCAATTCAGTGCAACCCCAACCAAAAGCTGAACTAATCTAATTCTAGAATTTGTATGAAGATACCGAGGAAATAAACCAGCCAAAGAACTTTGAAAAAGAGAACAAAATGGGAGGGCTTATACTGCCCGATTTCAAGATTTATTATAAAGCTAGTTATAAAGATAAATAAATTGACCCATGGAATAGAATACAGTCCAGAAATAGTCTGCACACAGTATTAACCATGTTTTTCCTTTTCTGTGTCTGATGCTTTGACATCCAGGGCTTGCTGACCTGGAGGGACTGCCCTCCCAGCGTTAGCCAATTCCTAGAAATAGCAAACAACCCATCCTGGAGTGTACCTTTCAAATACAAACCCACCAATCCAGAGCCCACACCCCAACCACCTCCTCTCACATGGGGCCACTCCCCACCTGCCCCAATCACCCAAGGCCAGGCACCAGACAACTAGGGACAGACCCTACACCCAAGGGCCTGCTGAAATGATTCAAAGTGCCACTCCTAAGCCTGCTCCCCCTGCCTCACCCATTCCTCCTGTGGAGACCACAGTGAGGCTTTCCCTGCCCACATTGTCCCCTTGCTCTCTCTGCCTCTTGACCTACCCGGTGCTTCCCATGTGGCCCTGCCTGGCAGCCGTGCTCCTGCTTCCAGGGAGCTGTGGGTACAAACACTTTCTTCCTTCATGACAGTCATTTCTATGTCTCATGTCTTAGCACACTGTATTAAAACAAATCCCAGATATCCTGAAAACACACACATATGAACAAGTGATTTTGACAAAGCTTCCCAGGCAACTTAATGAGGAACAGATAATCTTTTCAAGAAATGGTGCTGGAACAACTGGACATTGTATTTTTAAAAACAAGAAAAATAAGAACCTTGACATTTTCTTTGCATCCAATATAGAGTTAATTCAAAATGGATCATAGACTTAAATGTAATAGTCAAAACTATAAAGCTTATAGAAGAATGAATAAGATAAAATCTTAAAGACCTTCAATTTAACAAAGAATTCTTAAGCATGATACAAAAGGCATGAACTACAAAAGAAAAAACTGATGTTGGAGGTTACCAAATTTTAAAACTTTTCATCTTCAAGTCACTGTTATAAAAATGAAAAGTCAGGCTACAGACTGAGAGAAAATATTTGCAAAACACATACCCCATAAAAGACTGTATCCAGAATATATACAGAAAAAATTCTCAAAGCTCAATAAGAAAATAAACAACCCAGTTTTTAAAATGAGCAAAATATTTGATCAGGTACTTCAAAGAAAATATACAGATGGCAAATAAGCACATGAAAAGACGATCTGGCCAGGAAAGCAGAACGCATGCTTTCCAGACCAGCCAGGCCAGCCATGGGAGCCACACGCGGGTCACTGTCCTCCACATCCTGAATGCCGTGGTGGAAGACACTGGAAACACAGGCAGGCCTCAGGCGGGAGACACAAACATCAGGGAAGGTTGGCACTGTCTGCGACACAGGGACAGATGGACAGGCCTGGCGGGATCATGGGCCTGCAACCCACTGACAGGGGAAAGCAGGGATGGGGCATGTGAGCAGGGCGGGTCAGGATGCTGCCAACGCTCCTTGAGCACACAGAGATCTGGGGCATGAGCACCCAGGATAGAGTGGAGCAAGCCCCACCTGGAGTTCCAACCACACCAGTCTCTTCTGGGCTCCAGCCACAGGCCCCTGGGTGTTGGGCCTGGACCTCTGCTCCTCTCCCCTAGATGAGCCCACCCAGTCCATAGCCATGCTCTCTTTCTCTGCTGATAATTTCCTAAATTAATCTCCTTGCCCCTGCTCTCCCCCATGAACTCCCATATCCACTGCCTACCTGGCCAAGCCACTTGGACATCTGTTACCTGAAGTCCAAGACCAAATCCTTAACCCCTCCTACCTTGGACCTGACCCTCCCCACGTCATCCTGCCTGAGTTGCTCAGGCCCCTCGGAGTCAGGTCTGAGTCCTCCTTCCAGTCCCATTGGCAGCCTCGGCACGCACCACATCTCAGCAGGCCTAACCACACTGCCTGGGCACCTGCAGCCTCCGTACCAAACCTGCACCCCAGTGCCTTCCCGACAGCCAGGGCGAGCCTCTGCAGTGGGGCCTGGGGCCATGCTGTCCACTGCCCTGAGGGTGACACCTGACCTCCTAGAGGGGGCCTGCTCTCCTGACCTCATCTCCTGCACTGGCTTCCTCACCCCAGCTGCCCCCCACCCCTTCCTTTCCTCCATCAGGTCTTTGCTCCATGCACGCCTCCTGCCTAGACACATGCCTGGCTCCCCCCTGCCACCCAGTTCCAACACCTCCTCCTCCGAAAGTCCTCCCTTGCCCACCCTCCAGGCAGCCCCTCAGCCACTCCTGCTCAGCCTCCCTGCTCTCCATGTAGCATGTGCCTGCTGTGTTTGTAAGTCACTTTCTTTGGTTGTGGGCCCTCCCTCCACCCACCAGAAATAAGCTCCATGGTGGTAAGAACCCTGCCTGTGTGTCCCCTGCCACTCTGAGACCGGGAAGAGCACTGTGGAGGCAGGCCCCCAGCAGAGGCTTAATGGAGAGAGGACAGGCAGGCACTGCCCCCACAGTCTTCTCCCTAAGTGGCAGGGCCTGAAGGAGAATGGGTTGTTAAGGATAAGCTTGCTGCGAGGCCCAGGGCATCTGTGCCTCCACATCTGTGGGCATTCTTCCTTTTCTAAAAATCACAGAATGAAGTTAAGATTTATTGGACAAGGGAAAGGGAAAACCCTGTACCTACCACAGGATACTTGTAATTCAATTAATCAGAAAAAAAACCACCATCAGAAACCATCTGCTCAGAGGTCATCTGCTCAGAGGTCATCTGCTCAGAGGTCAGGGCACTTCCCAAGCGCAGGCAGCAGGTGGAAGCTACCACAGACCACACCCAGCCAACGCACCGCAGCCCAGGGCCCAGGCTCTGGCATTGCCACTGGTTTGCAAACACATCCTAGCATCGCAGGGGAAATCACACAGCCACGACAGAATTTCTTCATAAGAAAGATATTTTTAAAACACGGCCAGTAATAAGGCAAAAAAAAACCCAAGCAAAATGTTACACCTTCTGCAGATTTAACCATGATACAAACTGCCATACTTAACGGCTCACAACAGTTTATTTGAGCTATTATCTGTAACTTTCATCATTTAAGTTATAGAGGAAGTTCATGGAATACTGTAGTATCCCAATGACAGCATCTCCTGAGAGTCAGTGCCTCCCTCACAGAGAGGCCGTCCTGTCCTCCTGCCACCCACTTTCTCAGACCAGAGCAGCCTCACGGCCCAACAGCCTGAAAACAACAGCCAACAGAGTGCCACTCCAGCTGAGGGGGGGCGGGTTACAGAGTGCCACTCCAGCTGAGGGGGGCGGGTTCTCTTTCAGATCCCACCGAGGCACCCCACCCTTGCTGTTCCCCATCACTGCCCACAAATCTACACGTCTCACACCGCTTCTCATTCTCACACTTACAGTGACACCGCTAACACCTCAAATCAGTTTTAATGTTCGTGTTACAGAGCAGCCTGGCCCGCCACCATGAAGGCAGCGAGATTCCCAGCTGTCCCCACCTCGCTTGGCAGGGGCAGGGCTGGGACTCCTTCCAACATGCAGTGTTGGCTTCTGGGGCTGCCCCGTTGGGAGAGGATGAACAAGCAGAGAGCAGAAAGCAGCAGGGAGTGTGGGCAGCCCCCATGCACCACCCTGTGGAGTGTTTTAGCCCACCACTTCCAAAGACTGCATTCTCATAACTCAGGGTAACACCGGGAGGGGGCGGGGTGGGTCACAGCTGGACACCCCTGGAAATGCAGCTCCTAGGAATTTGCTCATAGGTTCCATTTTCGATAAATGTGTTAATAGGAGCTCAGACTTCAACAGATCTCAATAAAGGAAAATGAGCAAATGCTATGTTTTTACCTAAAACCTAAATAGGCCACAGGAAGGATCTGACTTCAGGAGGGGGACAGCCTTGACTCTGAATTTCTCCAGATCTGGGGGAGAGAGTGTCTCATTAACTTACCCCCTCCAGGTGAGTGAATTGAGAGTTTTACAGTGCCAACAAGAAGCAGGATGTGGGGGAGCTAGAATTTAAAACAGCTTATGCTGGAGGAGGACGGGCAAGGAAGATTCAACTTAATTCCTATCACAGAATCCACCAGTAATCACCATTTCTATTATAAATAATTACCACTCTCGGTGATGGTCTCAGCGGAAAAAGAAGGAAGCAGTCAGCAGGTGAACTTCTTTACTCCTCCACCTCAAAAGTGGCATGGCCATGACATGACTGACAAGGCCAGGGAATGCAGATCCCACAGACCCTGAGCTCGACCCCGGGCCTGGCATCCAACCTGCGTGTTGTGCGGGCTGTGCTCCCTTGCTGGGACAGCAGCCCCTTCCCTCCTTCCAGACACTCAGTATCTGCCCACAATGTGTACTTTTCATTTCACTTTCATATCTAAGATAGATCATACTTCAGGTATGTGTCAATATAGATACATATACCCATGTTTCAATCTTACAAAATTACACTGATGGGCTTTACTCACTATCAACTTGTAATGATTTACGAAATGATTTTTGTTTCAATGTCAGTTAGTACATGAACTTATTAAAATTTTAAAATTCACTATTTTTACTTAACCCTTTTCTGAATGGGTCACTCTCATTATCAGAACTAGACATAGGAAGTCTGTCTGGCCTCTCACCAGGGTAGTGAAGTTGCCTAAAATATATCTGCTAGACTCTCTAGACAACTGCCCATATGATCACCAATCCCTGATGGAGAATTAGTTCTTCAGAGGCCTGCCCCAGAGCCTCCCTCGAGAGCAGGCCACTAGGCCGCAGACGGCAGGCCATGTGCTCAGAGCCACTCTCTAGGATGCCTATGTGTCCCCTGGTTGCCAAACACATGCCAGCTCTCTGTGCAGAAAGCTGGAAAGAACAGAAAAGTGCAAAAAACATCTGTAAAAGCACCTGCACTTCCCAGATAGAAACAATGATAGCAGTAGAGTGTATTTTCTTCTAGTACTTTCTCATTATTACATTTACCTATATACATTTTTTTTTTTTGAGACGGGTCTTGCTGGGTCATCCAGGCTGGAGTGCAGTGGTGCGCTATCAGCTCACTGCAACCTCCACCTCCCGGGTTCAAGTGATTCTCCTGCCTCAGCCTCCCAAGCAGCTTGGGACTACAGGTGAACGCCACCACGCCCAGCTAATTTTTGTTTTTTTTTAATATTTTCAGTAGAGACGATGTTTCACCGTTGTTAGCCAGGATGGTCTCAATCTCCTGACCTCATGATCCACCCCCACTTGGCCTCCCAAAGTGCTGGGATTACAGACGTGAGCCACTGTGCCCGGCTACATTTACCTATATACATTTTTAAAACAAAAATGAGATCACATTTTTGCTAAGAAAGTGTAGTAAATCTGTATCTGTAGTATTTGTAGAAAATATTTATAACAGCTTGTTTTTAGCCTTTTAACAATATTTGTTAATAGTCAAAGAAATTTGTCTATGAAAATCTCTATTATTTAAGATTGTATGGATTGCTTTTATGCTTAAAAAAAAACTTCTGCATTTCAAAGATCAGGTTAATATTCACATAATTCTTCTCCAACAATAAAAATAGATATTATTTATCCTATGAGCATAAAAGTGATATACATTCATTTAGGAAAACTTAGAAAATTCAGAAATGTGTGAAAACAAATAGCAGAGTGACCTCAGCTCTCAGAGACAGGTGCTGTAAGCCTTTGGTTGTACTTCTACACACACATACACATGCAAACATATATCCACTTACATTTTATGTCACATAGGCCATTTTTACATACATTACTGACTTAGGTGCCAGTATACTGGGTACATTTTTTTCATGTCATGGATCATTCCTATAAACGCTAATTGCTTTCTAATATCTCATTGTGTTGTGAAGTACAATAACTGATTTACTAAATCCTTTATTACTGGGTATTTGGGTTGCTTCCAATTGTTAATTATTTAAATTACTGCTGTAGTGAACATACTCTGTACATAAATTTAGTGCTTATCCGATTATCTCCTGAAGATAAAGCCGTAAGAACAGAATTTTCAGCCAAAGTGCATAAATATTTTTAGAGCTTCTCATATACTTGAACAAAGAGCCCCCAGAAGCTTGCTTCCCTACAGTAGTCCTCTGAGACACGCAAAGTGACTCCAGTTTCTGTGATTTCTTGCCAAAATTCTATCTTATCAGCCTTCTCAAAATACATGCAGATGAGATCGTCAAAGAACAATGCACATACATTTGCTTCATCAACAGTAAGACTCAGTCCCCTCCCTGTCTATGGACCTCTGTGAAATTCGACAGGAAAGTGACAAAGTGGACCAAATGGAGCACACGGAGAATGAAAATAAAGTGGTACCAGTAGCTTCTGGCCAAAGCTCAACAAATTTAAGCAAATACATTTAGATAAGAAATTCTGGTGTCTTTAATATTAGAATAACTTTAAAATGAACCTAATAATAAGTCATTTAATAATAATTAAATTGGGGTCAGGAGCTGTGGAAATCATTGTGAACTCGAGGCCACAAAAGGTTTATTTCCAATTCTCTCACCAAAAGTGGTCTCCTCAAATACTCACGGTCAGCCCTGCAGCCAAGAGTTGTTTTTTTTTTTTTTTTTTTGAGATGGAGTCTTACTCCGTCGCCTAGGCTGGAGTGCAGTGGCGCGATCTTGGCTCACTGTAACCTCCACCTCCTGGGTTCAAGCGATTCTTATGCCTCAGCCTCCCGAGTAGCTGGGACTACAGGCACCCGCCACCATGCCTGGCTAATTTTTGTATTTTTAGTAGAGATGGGGTTTCGCCACATTGGCCAGGCTGGTCTCAAACTCCTGGCCTCAAGTGATCCTACTGCCTTGGCCTCCCAAAGTGCTGGGATTACAGGCATGAGCCACTGCACCTGGCCTCAAATACAACTTTCTAAACATGCAAAAATTTTTGGCCAAGTAGCTGCTTCCGCAACTTGAGGCAAGAAAAAATCAGAGGGCCTGACACACAGAATGTTCTGACCAGAAAGCAAGGTACCTTCAAACATCTGGGGCAGCACAGGGCAGCACAAAGTGGCAGCTGAAAGGGCCCCCACACCCAGCCAAGCTATGGCCATCCTGGCATTGGAGAGAATAAGTAATATTCTTGTTTAAGTTTGAAGCAGGAGCTCACGTTGAAGTCAAGGTCCAAATCATCTTAGAACATGCAACCAAGTCACCTGTCCCAGACTAACTGGTCTAAAACATGAAGCCTGCACCCTCCTGGTCAGTGTGCAAGTGCTGAGCTGCTGGACGTTATCTGCACCAGAGAGGTAAGAGAAGCATCTGTCAAAACCATTGCAACCCTACAAGAGTAAAGGTACAGAGGTGATGGAGAATTAAACTACAGTGAAGGTGTTTTCAAAACTCCAAATGTAGTAATAAATTTTACAATTATTGTATTTGTGAATACTTTTACTGCTAAGGCATTTAAAAGAATAATTTACTCACACTGCTTAAATTGTTTTTAAAAATTGATTCTTTTTTTATTACTTTTTTATTATACTCAAGTTCTGAGATATATGTGCAGAACATGCAGGTTTGATAGACTGGATAAAGAAAATGTGGCACATATATACCATGGAATACTATGCAGCCATAAAAAAGAATGAGTTCATGTCCTTTGCAGGGACATGGATGAAGCTGGAAACCATCATTCTCAGCAAACTAACACAGGAACAGAAAACCAAACACTGCATGTTCTCACTCATAAGTGGGAGTTGAACAATGAGAACATATAGGCACAGGGAGGGGAACATCACACACTGGGGCCTGTCAGGGGGTCGGGGGTAAGGGGAGGGATAGCATTAGGAGAAATACCTGATGTAGATGACAGGTTGATGGGTGCAGCAAACCACCATGGCAGACGTATACCTATGTAACAAACCTGCATGTTCTGCACATGTATCCCAGAACTCGAGTATAATATTTTTAACATATTGAGCCCTAAATAAAGTACAAGCAGCACTGAGTATTCCTCTTTAGGCATAAAGGACTGGTGGATGTTAAAGACCTTTGCAATTGTCCTGCTGGCTTATCTCTGGCAAGTCATCTGGAGGTGCCTTCTCTACTTGTCCCTCAGGCCAGAACAGGTTTCCACTTCCTCTTACTGACCCTGGAATTTGGTGGGTAATGATTTTGCCTATAGAGGTTCAAAAATCTGGCAATCTTTTAGTTTCCAGATTTGGTGTTCATGACTTAGTATGTGTATTAGTCCATTCTCACACTGCTATGAAGAAATACCTGAGACTGGGTAATTTATAAAGAAAAGAAGTTTAATTGACTCACAGTTCCACAATGCTGGGGAGGCCTCAGGAAACTTACAATCACGGCAGAAGGCAAAGGAGAAGCAGGCACCTTCTTAACAGAGTGGCAGGATGGAGAAGTGCCAGATGCTTATAAAACCATCAGATCTCGTGAGACTCACTCACTATCACGAGAACAGCATGGGGAAAATCACCCCCATGATCCAGTTACCTCCACCTGGTCCTGCCCTTGACATGTGTGGATTTTGGGTAATGGAGATTACAATTCAAGATGAGATCTGAGTGAGGACACAAAGCCTAACCATATCAGTATGTCTTGGAGAAGACACACTAAAAACCCTCTGCACACATTTCCTGCCACCGGGTATGGCTTGTTCTCACTTCTCAGTTCCTCAGTTGTCTTCTTTTAACTCTCTCAGTGATGGCCCCTCTAGCCTCCCTGAGAACACTTGCTGTTCTGTCCTTCATCCCCAAGAGCGGCCCCAAGTCACTCGCATCCACTGAGAAGCCCCTTCCCAAACTGCCTCAGCTCTAATTCTGAGGTAAAGCCAACCTTATTGCAGGGTGAGGATTACGAACGGTCAGCCAGATACAGCTGAGCTAATCACACAACATGGCTTGTTCCCCGAATTCAGCCAGGCCAGGGTTAACCCAAGACGGAAATTTCTCACACACTGACCTCCCGTCCCATTAGCTGGGCTCTAGATTTGCTGCTTGGCCCTGCTTAGCACAAGTCCCACACTGTTTCCACTCCTTTATTTTACAGAGCATCTTGATATCAGATGAATAGGCAGCTCTCCACTGCTGTTCTTTTCCAAACTGTTGGCCAGTCTTATGCTTTTATCCCCTTGTGACATTTAGAAGCCATTCATCAATTTTCATAAAATATCCTGTGGCAATCACATTCATTTTTTGAAAAGTGTTCATTATAAAACATAGGACGCAGATGGCATCTGTGAGAATGGCAGAGTAATAACCACTAACAGCTTACCTCTCCATAAAAGCAATGAGAACCCTGGCAAAATTGTCACAATTAACTTTTTAAGAGCTCTGGAAATTCATCAAAGGCTTGCAGCAATCCAAGGATCACTGATTCAAGAAAAACAACTGGACCTTGGTAAGAACAGTGAGCATTGTGGCATTTTAACTTACCCTACTTCCATCCCCTTCCCCCGAGCTGCATCCAAGCCTTGAAAACCAAGAGCCCAGCAATCAATGAGAACCAGCAGCCTGGCTGGCATGGAAGCGGCAGAACAGGACAGGAGTCTTTCGAAGCTGTAAACACCTACCTTTAAAAAAGAGGCAAGATCTCAATTCGATAACCTAAACTTCCATCTTAAGAAATTAGTAAAACAAGAGAAAACTAAACCCAAAGCAAGCAGAAGGAAGGAAACAACAAATACTATGGCAACAAGAAACTAAATAGAAATAGAAATTAAATAGAAATTAAACAGAATAGAAAACAAAACCAAAAGTTAGTTTCTTGAAAAGATCAAAAAATTGACAAATCTTCACCTAGACTAGCAAAAAAAAAAAAGGAGAGAAGACTCAAATTATTAAAATTAGGAATGAAAGAGGAGACATCACAACCAACCTTGCAGAAATAAAAAGGATTATAAGAAAATACTATAAACAATTTTATATCAACAAAAAGCCTAGATGAACAAATTCCTAGAAACACACAGAAACTACAGAAACTGACTCTAGATAAAAGAGAAATCTGAACAAACCTAAAACAAGTGAAGAGGTTTAGTAACCAAAAAACTTTCCACAAGGAAAAGTCCAGGATCAGATGGCATTACTACCGTATTCTGCCAAACATTTAAGTAAGAATTAACAACAACCCCTCACAAACTCTTTCAAAATTACAGACAAGAAAAGGATACTTCCCAACTCATTTTATGAGGCCAGTATTAGCCCAATACCAAACCCAAACAAAGACATCAAGAGAAAACCAAAGACCAATGTCTCTTATGAATACACATGTAAAACATCACAACAAAAATATTAGCAAACCAAATCTAACAATATATAAAAAAGATTACACACTATAATCAAGTGGGGTTTATCCCCAAAATGCAAAGTTGGCTTAATATCCAAAAATCGATCAATGCAATACATCATATTAATGGAATAAAGGACAAAAACCACATGATCATCTCAGTAGACACAGAAAAAGCATTTGACAAATTTCAATATATCTAATGATAAAAACACTCAAAAAAACTAGGAATAAAAGGAAGCTTTATTAACTTAATAATGGATATCTATGAAAAACTCGCAGCTAACATCATGAACAATAGTAAAAGATTGAAAGCTTTTCCCCTAAGATGAGAAACAGGACAAGGATGCCTGCCCTTGCCAGTACAATCAACGCTGTATTGGAGGTTTTAGCCAGGACAATTAGGCAAGAAAAAGAAATACAGGGCATCCAGACTGAAAAGGAAAAATACAAATATCTCTATTTGGAGATGACATGATATTGTATATAGAAAATACTAAGAAATCCACTAAAAAACTAGTATAATAAAGTTCAACAAGGTGGCAGGGATCAATATACAAAAAGTAATTGTATTTCTGTACACTAGCAATGAACAATCCAAAAATAAAATTTTAAAAAATCCATTCGTAATAGCAGCAAAAATAATAAAAAACTTAGGAATAGATTTAATTTTTTAAAAATGCAAGACTTATACACCAAAAACTACAAGAAAGGGAAAGGAATTAAACAAAACCTAAATAAATAGAAAAACATCCTATGTTCAATGTAATATTATTAAGATGGCAATATGTCCTAAACTAATCTACAAATTCAATGCAATCTCTATAAAAATCCCAGCCAACTTTCTGACAGAAATTGACAAGCTGATTCTAAAATTCATATGAAAACTCAAGGGACTCAGAATAGCCAAAACAATCTTAAAAAAGAAAAACAAAGTCAGAAGACTCACATTTCCCAATTTGAAAACTTACTACAAAGCTACAGCACTCAATACATTGTCATATGGGCATGTTCTGGACTGAACTGTATCCCCACAAAACCCATGTGTTGAAGACCTAATCCCCCAAATCACTATATTTAAACACAGGGATTTTAAAGAGGTATTAATAATTAGGATTAAATGAGATCATAAGGGTGGGGCCCTAATCCAAAAGAACTAGTGTCCTTACAAGAAGAGGACTGGTATCCTTACAGCAAAAGAACAGTGAAGACACAGCAAGAAGATGTCATCTCCAAACCAAGGAGAGAGTCCCCAGAAGAAACCAAAGCTGCCAACACTTTGATTTTAGACCTCTGGCTTCTAAAACTATGAGAAAATACATTTCTGCTGTTTAAACCATTCAGTGTAGTATGTTGTTATGGCAGCCCTAGCAGACTAATTCAGGGTATAATGATGTAGATATATTCTCTCTCCCTCCCCATATATAGATATGGAAATCAACAAATTAACCCTTACATTTATAGTCAACTGGTTTTGACTAAGACTGCCAAGACAATTCAATGGAGAAACACTATTCATTTTAATAATTGTCCCAGTGTGCTGGGACAATTGAATATCCACATGCTAAAGAATGAATCTGGAACCCTATTTCATACTATATACGAAAATTAATTCAAAATGAATCAAAGACCTAAGGACTAAACCTATTGAAGCTCTTAGAATAAAACGTGAAAAATATGAAAATGTGACCTTGGATTAGGCAGTGGTTTCCTAGATATGATACCAAAAGTATAAGCAATGAAAGAAAAAATAAATAAATTGGGCTTAAAATTAAAAACTTTTATGCTTGCAAGGACATGATCAAAAAAGTAAAAAGTCAACCCACAGAACAAGGGGAAAATTTGGCAAATCTAATAAGGAACTAGTATCCAGAATATAAAAAAGAATTCCTAGAACAATAAAAACATGACTCACTTAAAAAATGGGAAAATGATTTGAATACACATTTCCCCAGAAAATATATGCAAATGGCCAGTAAGCACATGAAAAGCTTTCCAACATCATCAGTCATCAGGGAAATAAATGCCAATCAAAATAACACTGATATACTACTTCACATTCACTAGAACGGTAATAATCAAAAAGACAGACAATAACAAGTGCTGGTGAAGACATGCAAAATTGTTAACACTCATAAATTGCTGGCAGGAATGCAAAATGATGCAGCCAATTTGGAAAACACTCTGGCATTTTCATTCCCATTTCTCAGGGAAGGAAAGAATGGAGAGTGACTGATAATGTACATGGGATTATTTTCAGGGTATAAAGAATGTTCTGAAATTAGTGATAATACTTACACAACTCTGTAAATATATTAATACCAAAAACTACTCACTTGTACGCTTTAATGGGTAGATTTTATGGTATGCAAATTATACCTCAATTCAAAAAATAAACATAATAGACATCGATATACTTACCAGGAAGATTAAAAAGTTGTCAACATTTTGATTTGCTTTGGATCTCTTTTAAAAATGCTTGCAGATACCACCGAAGCCCTATACTCCACTGATACCCCTCTGTATAGGAAGGAAACCATATAATCTAGAGATGGCAAATCAGTACTCACATTCACGTGTACATATCTTCACCAGCCACGTGCATATCCAAAAACAATACCAAACTGCACTTATCCTTTTGCAACCTGCTTTGTTAACACTGTTACTGAGATTTATCCATTTTGATACCCATAGATTTAATTCATTCATTTTAATGTTGAATAGTTTTTGACTATGTGAATAAAACAAATGTCCAGTTCCCCTTCCTGAGAACAGTTAAACCGTGTTTTGCTCTTACAAACACCATAGGCCCATATCCATGGGCATCCACTAGTTCTTCTAGAGCAAATGCCTGAAAATGGCATCGGTGGGTCATATTATGTGCACATTTTCAACTTTACCTGAAAACGTGCCTCCAAAATAGTCTCCAAAGTGGTTATAAAAATGTGCACTCCCAAGAGCAAGGTCCCCACATCTCACCAGTACATATTAACTGACTTCATGCCTGCCAAGCTGATGAATGTGAAATGGTATCTCACTGTTTTAATTCACATTTCATGGATTCGTCTCAAAAATGAAGTTTTCATATACTTATATCCTTTCTGGCTTCTTCAATTTGACTTGTCATTTTACAGCCTTTTATCTATTATATGCTTATTCTTTCTAGATCTTTGATATTAATCCCTTTCAAGTTATATGATTTTCAAATGTATAATCTTATCTGTAGTTTTTCCTTTAAGTCTATGAATACCTTGTAATGTGAGCTTCATCATTGTGACTCTGCATATGCATGTGTGTGTGTGTGTGTTCCCTGAAACAGGTTTCCTAGAGGATGGGACTAAGGGTTAAGAGACGTAGAACCCAGTGTGGCACCAAGGCTTTTGGCCTAAGCAACCAGAAAAAGGAGCTGTCCTGGAATGGTCAAGAGTTCAGTTTTGGACATATTCAGTCTCAAATGCTTATTAGACTTGCAAATGGAAATGTCAAATAAGCACTGAGACAAATTAGTCTGGAGTTGATGGGAGAGTCCCAGAGCAAGAGTCATCAGAGCACAGCCAGTATTTAAAGTCGAGAGAAGAGATGAGACCCCAAAGGAGTGAGGGAAATGGAGGCGCAACCAACCACGCTGAAGAGAACGAAAACACAGAGCATAGGCAGTACATTCAGAAGAGTGTGTGGGAACTACTAGCCCTTAGAGGAAAGACAAAACAAGAGGACAGAAGTGTACAACGTTTATATTCTCCCATCCCCAAAACTGAAATAAAGGAAGAACACAACTGGAGTGTGACCAAGTGGCTCTGCACATACCCCACCCCTAGCTGTCCTGGCAACAGGCCCCTTTCATAAGACAACAATAAAATATTGCATGCAAATGAAGAAAACAGAAATCAGAAGCAGGGCCAAGACAACAGCACTGGCTCCTCCTTTGGGAAAGTTCTGGGAGGAGACAATGAAGCAGACTCACATGGCTGCACATCTGCAGCGTCATTCTCATCAGCACCAGCACCATCGAGAGGCTGCTGGAATGGCAGGTGCTCTAAGGAGTGCGTGCAGCCTGTCCTGTGCTCCCTCGTGCACCATGCAAGTAGCGGAGCATGGCGTCAGCAGGTGCAGGCACATCTTCAGGGAGCCCACACTGTCTCAAGAAGAGGGTCAGGTACATGCATAACCATGTGCAAAGTAAGGAAGAAATCTCACTCTGCCTTCATGAGGTGGTCGTTAGTGAGGGACAACATTCAAAAGCAGGCCCTGGGTAGGTAAGAACTCCGCATGGACAGACGAGGTGTGTCTGTATGGGGCTGTGTGGGCAGGACTGCTTATGCAGTCTGCAGAAGGGCAGTCCTAGCAGGTGGAAAGCAAGAGCAAGGCCAGCGGCTCATCCCGGTTTGTCTGGAGCATAAACCAACTAAAAGGGAGAAATGGTAGGTCAAGCTAGAGAGAGAGCCTACAAGCCAATGCGAGAAGATCTGGAATGCGAGGCCAAGGAAGGGGCTTGCTGGCGGTGCTTTATCTGGAAGATAAACGGACACCAAGCACAACTTTTTAGCAGTAGTGGCATGTTGAAATCTGGAATTCATTACTACTGGAAGTAATTTCCTAAAGTCTAGATAATACATTTTATCCCAAAATTCCCACGTGGTCCTAGAAGCTGGCCTCTGTAGCTTCCTGCAAAGGCATTAATAGTTCAGTGTAAATGACTCATGGAAAGAGCAACCCTCGGCCAGGTAAGGTGGCTCACACCTGTAATCCCAACACTTTGGGAGGCCAAAGCAGGAGGATCACTTGAGCCCAGAAGTTTGAGACCACAACACCACAGTGGCAAATGTGTGGGCAACACAGTGAGACCACACCTCTACAAATAATTTTCTTTAATTAGCTGGGCATGGTGGTGTGTACAGGTGGTCCCAACTACTCAGGAGGCTGTGGCAGGGGGATCACTTCAGTCCAGGAAGTCAAAGGCTGCAGTGAGCCATGATTGCACCACTGCACTCCAGCCTGGGTGACAGAGTGAGGCCCTGTCTCAATAGGAAAAAAAAAAAAATGAAAGAAAGAGCAACCCTCACAAGAAATGTATAATAATCATCATCATAATTAGTATATAATAGCTCAGGCTAATAAGATGCTGACCACAAACCAACGTGTACAGTGTCAGTAAAGATTCGGAGACAAGTCATTTGGAAAAGTAAAAATTTACTTGAAAGAGGTACAGAAGAGTCAGTTTTCAAAACTGGCTCACCACATTAAACACATCAAAATTAGGAAACTGCATATTAAAACAAGATACTACCTCACACCTGTTAGAATTATTAATATCAAAAAATCTGAAAATACTAAATGTTTGCAAGGATGTAGAACAGCAAGAAATCTCATTCACGGCTGGTGGAAATGCAAAATAGTACAGCCACTTTGGAAAAGAGTTTGCTAGTTTCTTATAAATTACACATACTTTTACAATATGATCCAGCAATTGTGCTCCCTGGTATTTGCCCAAATGAATTGAAAACTTATATCCACACAAAAACCTGCACACAAATGTTTATAGCAGCTTTATTCATAACCGCCAAAAACTGGAAGCAACCAAGACATCTTTCAATAAGTGAATGGATAAACAAATCAAGGTATATTTATACAACAGAATATTATTCAGTGATAAAAAGAAATGAACTATCAAGATATGAAGACAGACTAACTTTAAATGCATACCACTAAAGCTACATACTGTATCACTCCAACTATATGACATTCTGGAAAAGGCAAAATTATAGAGATGGTTGACAGATCAGTGATTATCAGGGATTCAGGGGCAGAGATAAAGAGATGAAGCACAGGGGATTTTTAGGTCAGTGAAACTACCCTGTATGATACTCTAATGATAACTACAAGACATTAAGCAGTTCTCAAAAACCATAGAACTTTACAACACAAAAATTAAACCTTAATGTATGTACTTTATTTTAAAACGTCATTTAGGATGTCCAATCTCAAGACAGGATGCGGAAAGTGACAAAACAATCTAACTGTATTAAAAATATATTAAACAACCTTAACAAAGGGGTTGGAGAATAAGGTGCTGACCTAAGTCATTTTAGAAATGAGTAGAATCTCTAAGGTTGAAGGAAAAAGGAACTGTAAGCACTGAAGTACATAAGCACTGTACTCTAATTGATAAAGTTGTTTACCAAGGAGTACAAGATAACAATCCTCATACTGCTATACATGTATACTAAAGGTGAACAATTAAGTAAATCAATAGTGGATGGTGCAAACCAGTTTCTCACTGTTGGAGTGAGAAGCCAGCAAGGGGAGAAGGCTAGAATAATCCGTGTGGCAATGGATTCAAGTTACAAATGTCAGTATGAACTAATGCTCAAGAAATGTACAGATGATTACATATAGAAATATCTATAGATGTATATACACACAGGTTAGCTCAAGAAAGATACAGATGGTTACATATAGAAATATCTATAGACATGTGCATATATACAGGTTAGTTAGTATACAAACATATATCTCCTTTGCTCTGTCAGCTAAAATGGCCTAAAAGCAACAAAACTCCCAGAGCAACAAATACATTCAGCACCTAGATATTGGTTTCTTATATTATTCTCCAATAAAAGGAACCAGGACTCCTTGGATAAATGGCTGATCCTAGCACAAGGGCAGGAAATACTATACACAAAATGAGCCTGGAGCATCATCACTTTCAGTAGTACCAGAAAGGAAAGAGGTGCTTAAAAACAAAACACACACACACAATGATGTGGGTATGTCAAAGGGACACAGGAACCAACTGAAAGTGCCCCCAATGGGCAAAGCTGGAGCAATTTGAGAGAAAAAAAATGCAACATGGAACTATAAACCCAAGAATTGTTTTTAAATCCATGCGTTCATGCTTAAATAAATAAATGATTGGAAAAATAAATAAGTGTGAGAGCAGATAAATCTCCCAAGATAATACTAGTCTAAATAATTTATACAGACACTCCATCCTCAGTGAGGCAGAGCACAACTCTCCACCCTTTAAGTGTGCACTACACAAGATGACTTCCTTCCAAACAGTACAGTATGGAAAGACAGAGAAAAAAAGAAGAGTTATTTGGGTTGGTTCCAAGTCTTTGCTATTGTGAATAGTGCCGCAATAAACATACGTGTGCATGTGTCGTTATAGCAGCATGTGTCCAACAATGATAGACTGGATTAAGAAAATGTGGCACATATACACCATGGAATACTATGCAGCCATAAAAAATGATGAGTTCATGTCCTTTCTAGGGACATGGATGAAGCTGGAAACCATCATTCTCAGCAAACTATCGCAAGGACAAAAAACCAAACACCGCATGTTCTCACTCATAGGTGGGAATTGAACAATGAGAACACATGGACACAGGAAGGGGAACATCACACACCAGGGACTGTTGTGGGGTTGGGGGAGGCAGGAGGGATAGCATTAGGAGATATATACCTAATGGTAAATGACGAGTTAATGGGTGCAGCACACCAACATGGCACATGTATACATATGTAACAAACCTGCACGTTGTGCACAGGTACCCTAAAACTTAAAGTATAACACTAATAATAATAATAAAAAAGAAGAGTCACTTTACAGTGAAGAAATCTGACAAACACACCTCAGCCAGGTGATCAAGGTCACCATGAACAGTGATGAGTCATGCTGACAGTGAGCTTCCTTGACATAAACTGACAGTGATAGAACTGGCAGTTTATCTCAGTGTCTTCATCCCCAAAACCCATAACTAATCACCAGAAAACACCAGATCCCAGCAGATCCCAAATGAGGCACATTCTACAAAGTACCTGCCCAGTCCTCCTCAAAATTGTCAAAGTCATCAAAAACAAGGAAAGTCTGAGAAGCTGTCACAGCCAAGAGGAGCCTGAGGAACCACAATGATTAAATATAATGTGGGATCTTGGCTAGGATCCTGGAACAGAAAAGGACATTACGGGAAAACTGAAGAAATCTGAAGTATGGACTTTAGTTAATAATAATGGCTGATATTGGTCCATTAACTATGACAAATGTCCCTTACTGATGTAAGATGTTAAACTGGATGTGGGGTTTACAAAGATTCTCTGTACCATCCTCATCATAATTCTGTAAATCTAACACCATTCTAAAATCAGAAAAAATATTAAGAAATAGCAATTAAAGAAAAAAAAAAGGTCCCCGTCTTAGTCTGAACATGTTGGGAAAACAGCAGCTCTCACGGCAGTGCCAAATTCTGAAAAGTCGTCGCCTATCTTCAGACACTGACATTGCAGAGGTCACGGTGATGGTGTCTTTAGAAGAGGAACCTAGAAAGTCCAAGTTTACAGGAAGTACTCAATATTTCATCATTTGAGGCACCCAGTTAGATGCCATGTATCTAAGATATAGAGTGTTTCTCCTCTGACTAAGGTATGTGATGTACTTAGTCACAACTGAAGCAGAAAATGTCAGCCTTGCCCCAAAATATTTCTTAATTCTTACAGTGAATACTCAGCTTAAGAGGCCGAATGTTCCGAAGACAGGCTAGCAATTTTGGACCCTGCCATAACAGCAGCCCCTTCTGCTGAGAACTTACAGCATGCCAGGCACTTCCTCTGCATGGCTGCTCTCCTCATGCCAGCTCAGCAAGACATGGACTGTTGTTTCTGTTTTACAAATGGGGAAACGGAGGCCCAGAAAGGCTAAGCATTTGTCCAAAAGTTCTGCCGCTAGCAAGCAAGGAAACCAGTCTTTGAAATCACATCTACCAGGCACTGAAGCTCAGGCCAGCTTCTTCATCCATGCTGGGTCCCTTGGCCTCTGCACACACATGGGCCTGCCAGTGGGGGCCTCGCCCAGCCATATGCAGAGCTTTCTGGACAACTGGACATGTGTGTGAACAGTGCAAATGCTCCTACGGGGAACAAAGGATTCTTCCGCCCTTGAAACAGAGCCAGGGTCTAAAAGCCTCTACGGAACCCACATGAATCACAGTCACCAATATGCCATTAGATCTTGGACATTAATTCCCTAAAAGTATTTCTGAATCTTTGAAGGGATTAACCCCTCATTGTATTAACTCCCACCCCTGCTGCAAGCTACGGTTGCTAGCTTTTCTTTTTCTATTTAAATGAGACATTGATTTTTATTTCTTTATCTCATGAAGTTTGCTTATATGAAGCTATGTTTTACAAGTGATCCCTTTCACTTTGTTTCCTGAATTTTAGGAGAATCCTTTGTCAGCTTCCAAGATTTCTATGGTTTCCAAACTTAAGCAGCAAAACAGTGGTGTTGCCCTCCTTGGCTTCTTGATCAACAGTGTTCCTCAAGGGTTCAGGGGGTCAGAAACCATGGGGATTCACAGGATCCCTGAACTCTCACAGCAGCAATTTGACCTTGGAATTGGGCAGAAATGCAGATTCTGACCCTCCTGCCACACCTCCTCCCATAAAGTGGCCCACCCTCTGCAGGAATACCTTCAGGAGACCAGAGCACCACTCTAGCCCTTGAGAAGAAAAGCTGCAACCTATCCCTCCCCCATAGTACCCACATGGTGATCCCAAACATCCTCCTTTCACATAGAACCAGTCTAAAGCTTTTTCCCAATTTCGGCATGTGGAACCCCTAGGAAGGAGGGAAGTAGGGTATGCTGAGTCAGGCTATCTCAGTAGAATTAAACTTCCTCAGTCCCATAGTTTTATTCAGTGATGAAGCAGAACGTCGGCTTTGCCACTGAAGATACCTGGGCTAAATCCTGACACCAGTGGAGTGACCTTGAGCAAGCTTCTCAGGTCATCCTCCTCACCTGGGAAGACCAGCTTCCTGGGGCTACATGTGCAGTCAAGATGACACCTGGGGTGCTCAGCTCTGCAGTTCAGAAGATGCTTCAGCGTGGGGTCTTGACACTTCCATTGTCTGCACGTGCCAGTGATGGCCCCACTCTCTCCCTGCCTCTCCCAGGAGTCCAAGTTCAGGCAGGCAGCACACAGAGAAGCAGGACTATCACCTCCACTATTTGGATATTATGCTCCTAATAATACCTCTGTATTTGGCAAATGTCCTCTGGAATCATTCTGATTATGCCTCAGTCAAGGATCACATGCAATGATGGCCCAAAGCCTCACCAAGTGTGGACAGAGGTGCTCACTGGAAATGCAGATCCCCACGCCTCACATCCACTGGGTCAGAAACTACATTTTATTTATTTTATTATTTATTATTTATTTATTTTTGAGACGGAGTCTCACTTTGTCTCCCAGGCTGGAGTGCAATGGCATGATCTCAGCTCACTGCAACCTCTGCTTCCCAGGTTCAAGCGATTCTCCTGCCTCAGCCTTCCGAGTAGCTGGGATTACAGGCTCCCACCATCACGCCCAGACAATTTTTGTATTTTTAATAGAGACGGGGTTTCACCATGTTAACCAGGCTGGTCTTGAACTCCTGACCTCAGGTGATCCACCCGCCTCAGCCTCCCAAAGTGCCGGGATTACAGGCATAAGCTACTGCACCCAGCCAGAATCTGCATTTTAAAAACCCAGGTGACTCGTGCACGCTAAAGTTTCAGAAGCACTGACCTAGATCCCCAGAGACAAAAAAGTATTCCAATTTCAAGGCTTCTATCAGGGAATATTTCCAAGTAGAAAGCATTACTCCTTTCCCGCTCCTGCTATCAATAATGTACGTGCACACTCAGTCAGCATGAAGAGCAAGCAGAAGCTGACCTTAGGGGCCTAGAAATAAAAGTTACAGAAAAGGACAAAATAAACTTGCTGACAAGCCTCATAACCAAGAGATTTTCTGTCATCTTTTTACCAACCTCTTTCTAAGCAGTTTCTTGAACTTTGTTTGATCCAAGTTGCAGAGAGAAATATTTTTTAAAGTAAATACCTAATTCCTAGATGTCAGTCCCACTGGGAACTGAAACAGTATCAACTGAAGCAGAGAGAGAACAGGGGCTTACTGGTGTCCCTGACATCTGAAAGGCAGCGTGCTCACCCTAAGTGCACATGGTGGATGCTCCACATCAGCCTGCCTCCCTCTGCCTGGCTAGGGCTTCTCAACCTAAATGCTGAAAGACCTCCTCATGTCATTTGGGATTTGTGCTAATTGAACCAGCACTTGCTGATTAAGCCAAAAATCTTTCCTAAATTCTAGAGCATTTACAGTACATGGGCAGCAGTGGGGACTGGGGAGGGAGCTATACAGAGGGAGAGAGAGAAATAGAGATAGGTAGGGAAAGGGGGGCAGTAGAGAGAGATGGCAGAGGGAGAGGGGAGGGAGAGAAAGGAGGGAGAGAGCAGAGGGAGGGAAAGGAGAAGCCTGCACTAGCAGCAATAGTGAGCTCCTGTCACACCCCAATGTGTAAGAGACTCTGCATACTGTAACGTCAGCCAGACTGGGCATCCAGGCAGCACACTCAGAATCAATGAACCTGCTGCTAGATGCTGTGAGCCTGGGCAGAGGGCTCTTCCTCCGGCTACACAGTGATGTCAGGGCCCCCAAGAGATTCGACTTTCCTGGTTAGGGGACCTGGACACTGCTGTTTTGCAAAAGCCCCCCAGATGACTAATGTGTAGTCAGAGTAGAGAAGACTGCTCCAGGAGGAGAAAGTTTGTTCAAATTCATTACCTTTGATGTACTGCAGCAATGAGGAGGATTTTCTAAAACACAACATTGCTAATGTAAAGGTGGAAAAGACTCTTTGACAACTGAGTGTCTTGAATGGTGAAAGGCTGTAAGAAAGATGGAGGGTCCTCTTCAAAACTGACTTTCACACTGACATAAACACACATGTGCAAAAGAATGATCTGTCCCAACAAGGGACGTGCTCTGTGCCTCCTTCACCTCTATGGAGACTGAATTAGTGAGCACCATGGCCAAGTCAGTATTTTATTCCTGCCTCCTGGGCTCACAGCAGGGGTCAGTAAGCCATGGCCCACAGACCATTTCTGTACAACCTATGAACCAAAAATGATTTTTATTATTTTAAAAGGCTGAGAGGGGGAAAAAAAAAGACTATAAGAGACCATATGTGACCCTCATGCCTGAAATATTTACTATCCAGGACTTGACAGAAAACATCCACGGATCCCTGATTTGTGGCAACCACAGGTGCCCAGAGGTTCCCTGTTTGGGTCCACACTGACAGGCACTTTCCCTGCCAATTCACAGACAGGAGCACCCTGACATGCCTTAAGCAGGTCAAGCCAGGTAGAAGTGCACGCCCAGTAAAGAATCCCCAGAGAAAACACAGCCACCAATTGCTAGACTCCCCAGGGAGCTGCAGGAGCCCTTGTCTCTATGTGCACAGGGGACATCTTCAGCCGAGGAGGGGCTCTGCTTGTCCCAGCCCTGGTGTCACTTACCCACTGTGCCCACATCTCCAGTCTGGGTCCTACTGTGACCTCACACAGAGACCCTAAGATGCTCACTGAGGCCCCTGCTCACAAGGGTGGGGCCTCAAGCTGAAGGTGTCCCTGGATAAGTACAAACAGCAACAGCCCTCACTTGGCCTCAGTGGCTGACACAGCCAGTCTCCACAGATTCCCTGGGAACCTGGCTGATCAAGGGAACTCACATAAGCAAATGAGCCTCACTCAGAGGATGCATCCACACGATGCTGCACAGAAAGCAACAGCCCAGTGCTCCTGAAAAGAGGCTGCAAGGGCCTTCCGGCTGGGCCCAGAGAGAGAGCTCCTCACAGCCAGCAAGGTGACCCTCACAACAGACTCTGGAATCAGCACACCGAAGCCAGAAAAAAGAGGCACACCTCCCCAAGATGGGCTCTGTGGAGGCTAATGGTAGAAACCAGGCTCCAGAGACCAAAGGGAAGCTGGTATTTGGTTATCTCCAGAATCAACTGCCATCATGTATTCAGCAGACAGCAGCGCCCTGTGTCGTCTACCTGCACTGTATCACATCACTCTCTAGGTCATTTGGCTCACAAAATTGATTTAGGAGAGATTATTCAATTCCATTTTACATTTTCATGTTTTGGAACTCTGCCAGCAGCAACTTCTGTTCTTCCAGAGGTCAGGAAGCTATGGACAAGGCATCTCTTGCTGTTGTAAACGGAACTCCATATTCCCTTTATGAATTTCCTGTCAATCTTCAAATTACTTCAAATACGATTGCCCTTCACTTAGACAATGTTTTATGTCTCCATGTCTCCCTCCTTCCCATATCCGATCACCGCCCCCCACCGCCAGCAGCAGACAGCACTCCCCTGGAGCCCCCTGGGGCGCCTCTGCCAGGGGAGAGCAGGAAAATGGGGGCAGACGCTGCGGCCTCCCAGTCTGCAGCTGGCCCGCAGACCACAGCAACAGAGGATAGCATGTCCTGCATTTTAAAACTTCCTGCTCTTGTTCCCAGTTCCCCCACCAACCACCATGTTTCCTTACTCCTTTCTGCAGACAAACTATGTCAACTCCCCTCATTCCTGAGGGCTCTGCTCCACCCCAGCAGTGATGGCCCTTCTCCCAGCCACCACTGACTCCACACTGCTCAGGGTTGCCACCAGAGTCTCCTTGGAGCCATCCCCAGCATCTGATATGACCTTCACCACCACCCACTCAGCGGCTGGGCAGTGCCCCTTGGCTTTCCTCCAGCTGACCAGTTTGTTCTTCCCAACTCAAGATAAACGTGTCTTCCCTTCTGACCTCTTGACATCAGCCAGAGGGCCAGCCTCCATCCTGGATCCTCGTCTCTCCTTGTACTCCCTACTTGGTAATTTCATCCATCAACCACTCGCAACCTCCATCTCCATGTCCTGGTCCTCTCTCCCAAACCCCTGCTAACATGTAACATTCCATTGCTATCCACCACAGGACATGTCCAAACTGCAACCTCATGTGACAACTGCAAAGCCACCTTGCTAGGCTATCAAGCCAAGAGCCACTCTTGATGCCTCTCCTTTTCATGTCACATGCATGTTCATGAGCAAGCCCCAGGAGATGTATCACCAAACTACACCCAGAACCCAGCCACCATGCATATCCACTGCTGCCACCCTGGTCACAGCCACCACCATCCTACCTGATGAATGTGCTCCTTCTTCTGTTCATGCCCCCCGAAACAGCAGGCACAATCCTCCTTTTACAGGCTAAGTCTATTCATGTCATTGCTCTGCTCTAAACCCTGCAATGGCTCCCTATTTCCCACGGAGTAAAAGTCTAATTCTCCTATCGGCCTCCAAGGCCCTTCAAGACCAACTCACCCTCTCCCAGCCACTGTACCCCAGAAAAAGGTTCCTCTCAAAATATTACTGCTCATGAACAATGCACCCAAGAGCTCTGATGGAGATGTGCAAGGAGATGAATGTTGTTTTCATGCCCGTTAACACCGCATCCATTCTGCAAGACACGGGTCAAGGAGTAATTTTGACTTTCAAGTGTTACTACTTAAGAAATACATTTTGTAAGGCTATAGCTGCCACAGATGGTGATTCCTCTGATGGATCTGGGCAAAGTAAATTGAAAACCTTCTGAGAGGCATTCACCGTTCTCGATGTCATTAAGAACATTTGTGACTCATGGGAGGAGGTCACAACATCAACAGAGTTTGGAAGAAGTTGATTCCAACCCTCACGGATGCCTTTAAGGGGTTCCATCCTTTATTGAAGGAAGTCACTGCAGATGTGGTGAAAACAGCAAGAGAACTAGAATTAGAAGTGGAGCCTGAAGATGTGACTGAATTGCTGCAATCTCATGATCAAACTTGAATGGATAAGGAGTTGCTTCTTATGGATGAGAAGCAGAAAAGTGGTTACTTGAGATGCAGTCTACTAGTAGTGAAGATGCTGTGAACATTGTTGAGATGACAACAAAGGGTTTAGAATATTAATATTACATAAGCTTAGTTGCTAAAGCAGCAGCAGGGTTTGAGAGGACTGACTCCAATTTTGAAAGAAGTTATACCGTGGTGAAAGGCTATCAAACAGCATCACATGCTACAGAGAAAACTTTCGTGAAAGGAAGAGTCCATTGATGTGGCAAACTTTAGTGTTGTCTTATTTTCAGAAATTGCCATAGCCACCCCAGCCTTCAGCAACTATCATCACCCTGATCAGTCAGCGGCCATTAACATCCAGGTAAGACTCTCCACCAGTGAGAAGATGATGACTCACTGAAGGCTCAGATGATTATTAGCATTTTTTAGCAATAAAGTATTTTTAAAATTAAGGCACATACATTGTTTTTAGACATAATGCTATTGCACACAATAGACTAGAGTGTAAACATAACTTTTGTTTGCCTTGAGAAACCAAAAAATTCATGTGACTTGCTTTGATATTTGCTTTATTGTGGTGGTCTGGAACATAACCTGCAATAGCTCCGAGATTTGCCTATACCTGATGTTTCTGATGAGCTTAGTGGTGAAATTATCAAGTGATTTTTTTTGACACTGTATACAGAAATGTGTTAACGTTAGGAAAATCTTCATAACTCAGTGAATAATATTTCCAAATGACTAATGCATGTTATGAAAATCATGCATAGTAAAATATTTGTTTGCAGGGCAAGACTGACAGACAATGGGCTGTAATAAAATACTACAAGTTTACTGATAGTGTTTCAGACTCCATGTTGCAACTAACCTTTAAGAAACTACCACCTGTCAAGTTTTGACGCCCTATCTAACAAGAACATCTACAATAATCTGATAAAGCTATGAAAATACTCCTCTTGTTTCTAGCCACCTATTCATGTGAGGCTGGGTTTTCTTCACATAATTCAATCAGAACAATGTATCGCAACAGATTAATGCAGAAGGACATAGGAGAATCAAGCTGTCATAGTAATTCTGACATTAAAGAGTTCTAGAAATTCTCCTCACTAATTTATTTTTGTTTTATAAAATATAGTTCTTTTTATTAAAATGTTATTTTGGGGCTGGGTGAGGTGGCTCATGCCTGTAATCCCAGAACTTTGGGAGGCCAAATTGGGCAGATCATTTGAGGTCAGGAGTTCAAGGCCAGCCTGGCCAACATGGCAAAACCTCGTCTCTACTAAAAATAAAAAATTAGGCTGGTGTGGTGGCGCACACCCGTAATCCCAGCTAATTAGGAGGCTGAGGCAGGAGAATTGCTTGAGATTGTGAGGCAGAGGTTGCAGTGAGCCGAGATTGTGCCACTGCACTCCAGCCTGGCAACAGAGCAAGAGTCTGTCTCAAAAAGAGAAAATGAAACTGTCTCAATAAATAAATAATAAAATGTTTTTATTATATAATGGGTTCATTATTATTGTAAATGAATTTCTGAATAATTTTAAAATATCTGTGTTAATTTCAAGTAATGTAACTATCAATAGATAGAACCCAACTTAAGAAGTTGAGAGGAAAGGAGTCCTGAATTCCAAAAGTTTGAGAGCCCACTGGCCTAGTGTCATAGGATACTGTGGTGCTTGAAGAGGAAACACAAGTGGTTTTGGTGAAGAACCATGGAGACCCACTGAAGTAAGCTGTCACCAGATGCTGCCTGTCCCTTTCCTCACACTGAGTCAGAGGGAAGACTGAGTTACCTGTTTGTTTGCTTATTTGTTTTTAGGTGACTGCTAATAGGAAAGTAGGTTCACTTGAAAGACTAACATTGGAAGGAAACTGTGTGATGGATTCATTTCAACTTTAATATTGTAAATAATTTTAGAAATTGATATCAGAATTTAATTTTCAAGGCAAAATCCCTCCAGGCGATTCTGCTCTGTGAGAGGAGATTTAAACCAAATTGTTCTGTTATCCAACAACATTTATTAGCACTTGGTGGGGACACTGTGCTGTTCTGAGAAGGGGATCAGGGATACTGCAGATGATTTTTCGCTCCTAAGGGTTTTTTTCAGTACTTTAGGAGGGAGAAAATGTTGGTAGGACAAGCTCTCCACTGAAAGGCTGCCTAAGAAGATGTAAAATGGTGGAGGAGATGGGAAAGCTGGAGCCACAGCAGCTCTCTACAGAAGGCTCTGGGCTGAGGGACGCAGTGCCTGAGAAGGAGGGAGTGACCAGCCTTCATGTAGGCTGGAAGCAGTCTGGCAGGTTACAGCCCTAGACAGGAATTCACATCTCACTGCCTGGTATCGGGACATGGAGCTCTCTGGCTGGCTCACTCACATGCACGGGATACCTATGGCACACTGCGCAGTGGAGAAAAAAAAGGTCTGTTAGCACCGGAGAGGTGGTTGTTGCTGGGCGGGCACCTTGCAGAAGGAACTGTCCCTGTGGAGGGTGTGGGACACAGGCCCAAGATCACAGTACAGGGGGTGCTGTGTACTCATCCTCACTTGGCCTCAGTCCTCTCCATCTGTGGGCTGCTTCCAGGGCTCCTTGTGGAAATACAGGAACATCTCTTCTATTGGGAATCCAGGGAACAGAGAATTCTGATTAATGCGTTCCCTTTCAGTTTCCAGATCATTATTAGAAAATTCCTTAAACCGTAAGACTAAGTTTCTGATTTATTCCCTAGAACACATTAAATATGATTGTCTTTCTAAAAAGACAGGATTTTTCAGGGCCTAAGGGCATCATTGACCACAGAATATTAGTAATCCAAGTGTCCTGAGAAATCATCTGGTTTAGATCTCCTGTCTCAGAGCAGAAGCACCCAGGGAGCTTTTCCTGCTATTGCAGAGCCTCCCACCAGACTCATCAAACATTGTCACTGGCATGCATGGGTCCTGTCCCTCAGCTTCTTGACTACAGAAATGAAATCAGAAAACCTGACAGATGAGACTTTTGACTGTGGACATTTGAGCTAATGGTGAAATGAGTTAAGACTTTGGGGAACTGTTGGGAAGGCATGATTGGTTTTGAAATGTGAAGACATGAGATTTGAGAGGGGCTGGGGCGGAATGATATGGTTTGGCTGTGTCCCCACCCAAATCTCATCTTGAATTGTAGGTCCCGAAACTCCCACATGTTGTGGGAGGGACCTGGTGGGAGATAATTGAATCACGCGGGTGGGTCTTTCCCATGCTATTCTTGTGACAGTGAATAAGTCTCTTAAGATCTGATGGTTTTATACAGGGAGTTTCCCTGCACAAGCTCTCTTCTCTTGTCTGTTGCCATGTGAGACATGCCTTTCACCTTCTGCCATGATTGTGAGGGCCTCCCCAGCCATGTGGAACTGTGAGTCCTTCAATTAAACCTCTTCCTTTTGTAAATTGTCCATTCTCAGGCATGTTTTTATTAGCAGTGTGAGAACAGACTAATACACTGGGTAAGGGCTAGAGTTCCAGATATGACAAGCTATATGTGACTCTGGACTCTCTTACTGCCTCTTTCTCTAAATTGGATGGCACTGAGGTTTGCTGTTAGTAACAAACAGGAAGCGGGTGTTGGTTGAAAGCTCTACTGGAGTGCAGTGGAGGGAGGGCAGATTGAACTCTGGCTTATCTTCTAATCTCCATCGTCTCCTGCTATTCAAGAATCAATCGCAGGAGTCAGTGCCCTCCACAAAAGGTCTCCAGGATGAAGGAATAATGAAAATGCAGAAAGTGATGTGGAATTGTTAGCTTCTAGGTCACTTGGGAGAGCCCTAGGCCATGCCTCGCTGGGGACTTAGAGGTGTGGATTAGGTTGTCTATGCCCATTTTATTTCTTTTATTACCCTCTAACATCTTTCATTACCTTGGGGTATGAAGACTTTCCTCCATTTGTGAGCCATGTTTGAGTTGCTACATAAAGCTCAGGGATGTGGCAGGTGACGTTAATGAGCAAGCTGGTCTTTAAATAGCACAGCTCCAATAAACAGAATCACCTGTTTTATAGCTTGCTATTGGAGAAAAGTGTTCACAGAGGATTCTGAATAGCTGGGAGAACATTAGAAAGGCAGTAAAATGTTCCCTGCCCCTGCCGTGAAGCAAGACTGGCTAAGAACACACCCCACAGCAAAGACACTTCCTTTGGTGTGGACCAGAATCATTCATCATGATGCATTAAACTCAGGTTGCATCAAAATGAAGAAGGGCCAAGCCAAAATCTCCTTGATTATGGGAAACTTAGTCATTTGTTCTCTGAGTCAGCTTAATGGTGCATAATGTTCACATCATATTCTTTTGGGGCTGGGCCAAGAGGCCAGCATGTTTGCCAGCAGTGCAGCAATGAGCTAATCAGCCTTTTGGCTCCCACATTCCTGGCCAAGAGCTCTTCTGGAATGAGTGCTGTCACTGCACCAGACCAGAGACCTCACGTAGACTGCTCTTTCTTTTCCTCTATGTCACATGCTGGTCCTTGCTTTCATCAGATGATCCCCAGATCCCTTCTCCCCAAGAGAGCCCTGCTAGGCTGAGGCTCTGAGACGTGATGCTAGAAATTCAGCCCAACAAATTATTTATTGAAAAGCCCTGTCCTGGTAGCTGCTTGGTGGGCGACAGCCCCCATCCTCAAGAAGCATGTGTCCCCCATAATGGGAGGCTAATGCATGAACACAAATGTCTTCAATGCCATACAGTGTCAGGTATGCATAATCAGAGAAGAGCACACACTCCACAAACAATGTGGAGTGTCAGAGAGGTGGGCACTTTGGAGAAGGGGAAGGAGCCCCAAGAGGATGGTACCTCAGCCTAATCTTGGAGAGTCTGTGGAACAGGCCTGGCACATAGGGATGTTGCAGTAAGGGAGAGTTATTATTATTTTATTCCCTAGACTCCTGTTTTCTAACTTGTAAAATAGAAAAAAGTTGTTTTTCACATCTCCCAGGGACTAAATTGTGAAGCCCAGGTGAGACAACAGGATAAGGTGCATGGGAAGTAGTGTGTAGGGAAGGTGGATGGGCCAGATGGGGACTCAGCATCTGGTGTCTGATGACTGAGATGTTTCAGCCTGTGTGATATCTACCCCTGGCCACTTATGAGGCTCACACAACAGAGGAGAAGTCTTCTGGACTTTCTGGAAACTAGTAGGACACAGCTGATTCAAAAATGAGCCATGGCTACATGTTCTGTCTCTGTCTTATTAATAAGATAAGTAGGAGAATAATTCCTTTGTAATTTTTTTTTTTTTTTTTGAGACAGGGTCTCCCTCTGTTGCCCAGGCTGGAGTGCAGTGGAGTGCAGTGTCATGATCATGGCTCACTGCAGCCTTCACCGGCCAGGCTCGAGCAATCCTCCCATCTCAGCCTTCCGAGTAGCTTGGACCACAGGTGTGCACACCTACACCCGGCTAATTCTTAAATTTTTTGTAGAGGTGATATCTCACTATGTTGTCTAGGCTGGTCTCAAACTCCCAGACTCAAGCAATCCTCCTGCCTCAGCCTCCCAAAGTGCTGGAACTGCAGGTATGAGCCATAGCATCTGGCAACTTTGTGATATTTTTTAAGTGGTTTGTATGATTAAGATGGAAAAGTTTTTAAAAATTAAATTATTAGTGAGTGTATTCTCCACAAGTTTGTGCTGGAGCATAAATTTAGAAAGATATTTAGAGTATTTAGAGTAATTTTTTATGCCATGTGGTATTCCAATGTACATATGTTCCATAATTTGCTTGTTTGTTTAACTAAAACAGTTGAACTGCTGACAGGCATTCGGGATGTTTCCAGTGTTTCACTATTAGGCATAAAGCTTCTAGGAAATTTCTTATAGATATCATTTGGCCAACATATGTGCATATTTCTCTTGCACATATATCCAGAAGGAAGACTAGTGTGTCATATGGTTGGTGTAGGTTTATTTTAAGTAGATACTTGCCAGACATATTTTCAAAGTGGTCAAAGCAGGTCACAATCAACCAGCAGCATATAAGAATTCAGTTGTTCCACATCCTCACCAGCACTTGCCATTTTCTGTCTTTTTCACACCTGCCTTTCTAAAGGCTATTGTGGTACCTCACTGTGGTTTTAATCTGTACTTTCTGGATCACTGACAGCACTGAGTACTTCTTTATAAGTTACTGGACATTTCAATGTCCCCTTTTGTGAAGTGTCTGCTCAAGGCTCTTGCCCATTTTTTGTTGGTTGCCTTTTTTTTTTTTCTTGAGACAGAGTCTTGCTCTGTGGCCAGGCTGGAATGCAATGGCGCAATCTCGGCTCACTGCAACCTCTGCCTCCCGGGTTCAAGCAATTCTCCTGCCTCAGCCTCCCAAGCAGCTGGGACTACAGGCGTGCGCCACCATGCCCAGCTAATTTTTGTATTTTCAGTAGAGATGGGGTTCCACGATGTTGGCCAGGATGGTCTCGATCTCTTGACCTCATGATCCACCCACCTCTGCCTCCCAAAGTGCTGGGATTACAGGCATGAACCACCGCACCCAGCCTGTTGATTGCCTTTTTTAAAAAATTAACTTGCAGTCGTTTTCATACATTCTGGAGACAAATCTTTTGGTTAATATATGTATTGCAAACATCTTTTCTTGGTGCATGCCGTTTTTCACATTTCTCTCACTTAATGGTCTTCTGATAAACAAAAGTTCTTATTTTTAATAAAGTCCAACTTCTCAACTGTTTCTTTTATAGGTAGGGCTTATTGAGTCTGGTTTAAGAAAAATTTGTTTACCCTGAAGCCATGAAGAAAATATTCTTCCATATTTTCCTCTAGCAGCGTTACTATATTCCTTTAACACTTAGGTCCAATCCAAGTGTGGCTGGTGTGAGACGGAGTCCAAGTTCATGTTTTCCGTATGTATGTCCAGTTACTCTACTTCCATTTATTGAAAAGACCTTTTTTTTTTTTTTTTTTTTTTTTTTTGAGACAGAGTCTTGCTCTAGTTACCCAGGCTGGAGTGCAGTGGCGCGATCTCGGCTCACTGCAACCTCCGCCTCCTGGGTTCAAGTGATTCTCCTGCCTCAGCCTCCTGAGTGGCTGGAATTACAGGTGTGTGCCACCACGTCAGGCTAATTTTTGTATTTTTAGTAGAGACGGGATTTCACCATGTTGGCCAGGCTGGTCTCGAACTCCTGACCTCGTGACCCACCTGCCTCGGCCTCCCAAAGTGCTGGGATTACACACGTGAGCCAACGCACCTGGCTGGAAAAGACCATTCTTTTCGTGCTTAATTGTAGGTGGTGCCTTTGCTAAAAATCAAGTGGCCTTATGTACCAGGTTCTAGTCAGGAGACAATAATTACAGAAGTAATTTGAGTAGGGAAAATTTAATAAAAAGAATAACTAGTAAAAGGGATTAACTATCAAGATGGGTAAAGGGTAAAGGCCACTGTAAAGAATATAGGAATAACAAATGTAAAAGCCAGTAAAGGAAAGTCCTAAGAAATGGAAGAAACTCAGAAGAGGGTCTCTCTAACAAGTCTGAGATTCAGGCATTGTTACAGAGGGCATGGCTGTGACCCACTGGAGAAACTCACTGAGGTACTTGAGGCTGGAGCCAGTGCTGAGGTGCCTGTGAGACTCTCTGGGCAGTCATCTATTGGGGTGCTGGCTACTCTTGATAAGAAACTGCCCACTGGCTGCCATGCCATCAAACAAGAACAAAAGCCCTGAAACCTGGAAGAGAAGCCCCTTCCTCTACCCGTGTCCCTCCAGCACCCTCTGCTGACAAGCCCACCACTATGCCAACTGGTCAAGGAGGAATTTTCTTAGGGTCCAGCACCAATTTCAACAAACGGGGCCAAGACAGGTGGGATCAGGAGTTAAGAGGTAATAACAGATAACTGGCACAGCACACCATTTGGGTGGGTCTGTTTCTTGACTCTTCTATTTCAATTTCTCCATCTTATGTCAAGGCTCTGTACTGATTACTATAGCTTGATAGTATATCCTCATAATGGCTGGTGGAGATCCTCCACTGGCATTCTGCATTACAACTGCCTGTGCTATTCGAAGTCTTTTGCACATCTTTATATGTTTTAGAATAAACATGCTGATTTACACCTAAAAAAAACAAATTGCTGAAATTTCGATCGTGGTGTTTTAGTTTCAAAGAGCAGTTTGGGAAAGAACTGATATTTTTATAATATTGAGTTTTTCAATTCAAATAATATGATTTATTCCTCCACTTAAGCATTCTTTAATTTTTCTCAATGATATTCTGTTGTCTTTACTATAGAGGCACTGGTTTTATTTCTAGAAGTTCTTTTGATTTTACTGCTGCTGCTACATAGAAATATAATTGAGTGGTCTTTATTCACCTTCTATCCAGCAACCTTGCTAAATTTATTTACAAATTTCAGTGTAATGCCATGTAAAGTTTTCAACTATGATTGTGTATTTATTTATTCCTCTTTTCAGTTCTGTTTTTGCTTTTTGTATTTTAAGGAGACAATATTAGATGCATGCCTATTCAGGGTGTTACATCTTCCCACTAAACTAGCCCTTTTATAATTATGCAATGACCTTCTTTTTCTCTGGTAATATATTTTGCCTTAATGTCAATTTTGACTACAGTAATAAAGTTATTCCAGTTTGTTTTGGTTAATGTTCAAGTGGTATAGATTTTTCTCGTCTACTTTCAACCTAACTACATCCTTGCTTTTAAAATATGCTTCTTTTAGACAAAACATAGTTTTTATTCTATAGACAACCTTTAGAATTTTAATTGGAGTGTTTAATCTATTTGCATTCAATTTGTATTTCTAAAATGTTCATTTTAATTCTACCATCTTGCTATTTGGTTGGTTGTTGTTTTTGTTGTTTTTTGGGTCCTGTGGTTCTTTGGTTACTTTATTTCCCCTTTCCCATCTTCGTTTGGAATAATGAGGTATTTTTTATTCCGTTGTTTTAATCTCAGCTTCTTTATTTATTCTAGTGTTATCATTTTCGTAGTTATCTAAGAGATTTCAATTACACTATAATTTATTACAGACTGCTTTAAAAATCTCAGAAGAGTTTAACTCCCTTTATCCCCTCCTGCACTGACAGAGTCATATATTTTTACATGTTATAGATTCAATATGACATTATTTCTGTTTTAAGCAGTAAGTATCTTAAAATATTTGTTCATATATTTACCCTTTCTTGTGTTCTTCATTTCTTCTATGCTTCCATTTGGGAATATTTCCTTTCAACCTAAAGAACTTGCTAAAAGTATTCTTATAGTGCAGGTCTGTCTATGACAGACTGTCTCAATCTTTGTCTGAGAACATATTTATGTTGCCCTTCATTTTTGAAAAATATTTTCACTGAGTATAGAATTCTAGATTGACAGTTTTCTGTCAGCATTGAAATTCTTCATCTTTTTATCCATTTGTTCCTCTTTTCCTGTTTTTAAACATATTAATCATATTTGTTCTCATCAAATTTATTGGGGAATGATTTACCTTAAAAATTATATTCTATTAAAGTGTACAATTTGATGAGTTTTAACAGTTGTGTATGATCCTAAGACAGGGCATTTCCATCACCCCCAAAAGATTACTTGTGTTCCTTTATGGGCTATTCCCTCCACTGCCTCTGGGTCCAAGAAAAACAAAAACATGCTTTTTGTCATTTTAGATTAGTCTGTATTTTGTATTAATGGAATCATATACTATAAACTCTTTTTATGTCTGTCTTCTTTCAGTTAACATAATAATTTTGAGATTCACCCACGTTATTGTGGGTATCAGAACAATGTTGAAGAGAAGTGGCAAGAGTAGACATCCTTGCCTTGTTGGTAGTCTTAGGAGGTAAGTGTTCACTATTTCACCTTTGAGTATGAAGTTAGCTGTAGGTTTTTTATAGATGCCCTTTATCAGGTTGACGAAATTATTGTATGTTCCTAATTTACTGAGAATTTTTATTATTAGTGGGTGTTGAATTTTGTCAAATGTTTTTCTGCAACTATTGAAATAATTGTCTGGTTTTTCTCCTTTATTGTTAATATGGTGAATTACATTGAATGATGATGATTACATTGAATAATGAGTAAACCAACCTCGCGTTCTTGCTATAAACCTCATTTGGTTGTGATGTTTTATCCATTTAAAATATTTCTGGATTTGATTTGATAATGTTTTAAGGATTTTAGTACCTAGTTACATGAGGAATATTAGTCAGTAGGTTTTTCTTGTAATATCTTCATCTGGTTTTGGTATCCGGATATTCTTGGCCTCATAAGATGAGTTCAGAGGTGTTTTCCTCTCTTCTGTTTTCTGGAAGAGTCTGGGTAGAATCAGTATTAATTCTTTTAAAAACATCTGGTAGAATGAACCAGTGTAGCCTTCTGAGCTTAGAGTTTTTAACTAGAAATTGAATTTATATAGTAGATATGGGCCTATTCAGGTTATTTATTTCTTTTTGAATGAGCTTTAATTGCTTCGTTGTTTTGAATGAGCTTTAGTCTTTCAAGGAATTCGACCAATTATTCCCAGTTGTTTAATACGCTGGCTAAAGTTGTTTAGGATATTCTCTTATTATCCTTTTATTATCTGTAGGATCTGTGGAGATAATTCCTCTTTCATTCTTGATATTCATGTTTTGTGCCTTCTTTTTTTTTTTATCTTGATCATTCTAGCTATGAGCTCATAGATTCTGTTGATCTTTTCAAAGAACCAGCTTTTGGCTCAATTTTTTGTCTGTTTTAAATTTTGTTGATTTCTACATTCTTATTTTTTTCCTTCAACTTACTTTAGATTATTTTGCTGTTCTTCTTCTAGTTTTTTGAGTTACAACCTAAGGTCTCTGTTTAGAAACCTCTAGTTTGTCCCTGAACTTGAGAGTGGCCTTCCTGGATTCTTTATTGAGACCCTTCCAGGTCCTTATCTCCTCAGTCCTGAAAGTTCAGCCAGTTAAAGCTTCTGAGCTGATCTTTTCAGCTTCCTGCCACATACTATGGATTCAAAATCTGGAAAAATGACTTGAGGGGAAGACGGACTGTGTACTTGTTGCAGGCCTGTTTCCTTCAGGGTGACTCTATCCCCTAGACACCTGGAGAACGTGGGAGAGTTGCCATTCTATCTCACTGGTCCATCTCCTGGCTTCTTGCACAGTTCCAGAACTTGCCAGATAATCTGGTGGACAGAACAAGCCTTGTGCTGGGGACTCCTTTAGTTTCCAGTCAATTATAGTAGTACCTTGAGACTGCAGAAACACTCTGCTGGTTTTTCTTTTCTCCCATAGAATCCCTCAGCTTCAACCACATGTGATTCTTAGGCAATGTTTGGAATTACTGGCTTATTTTTAGCTTATCTAGAAGGGTTGTTATAGCTCATATACTCTTCATTGCTTTGATCATTTTAGAAATACAGTTTTTGCAATTTACCATTTTTTATAAATCCACTTGTTCCATTGGTAATGTTGGCCTGCTCTGACTCACTGTATTCTAATTGAGGGCAGAATTCTCCCTCTCTCTGTTTAATTTATGTACAATCAAATTCATCTATTTGAGGTGTACAGATTAGTGAATTGTGATGTATATACACACACACACACACACACATACATACATACATATATATGATATATATATTTTATATATATATAATATATATATGAGATATATATATATATAACTACCCCCACAAACAAGATATAGAACATCACCCCAAAAGGCTCTGGTACCCCTTTTCATTCAATATTCCCCACTCTCACCTTCCAGTCTGGGCAATTATTGATATTCTTATGTAAATAGAATCATATGATATGTACTGACTTCTTTTGTTATGTCTGGCTTACTTCTTTCATCATTTTTAAGATGAATCCATACTGTATGAATGTATTTTGTTCCTGTTTATTAGTTAGTATTGTACTCTTTGTTTACTTGCCTGTTGATAGATTTTTTAATTGTTCCTAGCTTTTAACTATTATAAATAAAGCTACTGTGAACACTTTTGTACATGTCTTTGCATAAGAATATACTTTCATTTTTTTGTGGGTAATTATCTGGGAGCGGAATGGTTAGGTGGTATACGGTAAGTGCTACGGTATTTAGCTTTATAAGGATCTGTCAAACTGTTTTCCAAAGTGGTTGAGTGGTTTACTCTCCCCCTTGCCCTGTGTGATGGATCCAGTTTACCACTATTTGTATCACTACTTATTTTCATTACATTTTAGCCATTCTATTAGATGTATACCGGTATCTCTTTACAACTTTAGTTTTTATTTTCCTAAAGACTAATGATAGATATTAATATCTCCTTGTGCTTTTAGCTTTCATTTTCCTGAAGACTAATGATGATGAGCATCTTTTTCATATGCTTATTAGCCATTTGTATGTCTTCTGTGATGTATCTGTAGAAATATTTTGGTATTTTTTATTGAGTTGTTGTTTCCTTATTATTGAGCTGCAAAAGTTCTTTGTATATTCTGAAATAGTCCTTTTTTCAGATATATGTAGGAAAAAAATTTCCATTCTATTTGCCTTTTCATTTTGTAAATGGTGTCTTGCAAAGAACAGAATTTTAAAACTTTGATGAGATGTAAATTAGTTTTTCTTTTGTTGATGTATTGCTTTATTTTTATTTTTATCTATTTGTTGATGTATCTAAGAATCTAGCAAGCCCCAAGGTCAGAAAGATTTTCTCCTTTGTTTTCTTCTAAAAGTTTCATGGACTTAGCTTTTATATTCAGGTTAATTTTGAATACAGTGTTAGGCAAGAATCAAGGTTCTTTTTTTTATATATGGATATTCAGTTCTTCTGACAGTTTGTTGGAAATATTTCCCTTTCTCCACTGAAATGCCTTGACACTTGTCAAAAATCAATTGATCATACAAGCTTGGGTCTATTTTTAGACTCTGTGTTCTGTTCCATCTACATGCCTATCCCTATGCTATCATATGCTATTACTGGATATTTGAAACCAGATAAATCAAGTCCTCCAACTTTGTTCTTTTCCAAATAGTTGTGGCTGTTTTAGGTCTTTTGCATTTAAAAACAAAAATTTAGACTCAGCTTCTCAACTTCCTCCAAAAAAGCCTGCTAGAGTTTGATTGAGATAGCTTTCAATCTGTAGATCAATTCAAATTGACATTTTACCAACATTGAGTCTTCCAGTCAGTGCACATCATAATCTCTTCATGTATTAAGTCTTTCATTTCTCCTAGCACTGTTTTGAAATTTCCAGTATACAAGTCTTACACATATTTTATTAACTTTATCCTGTTTCATATTCTGGGGTACTATTATAAATGGCAGTTTATAATTTTTTTCATTTCCAATGTTAGCTAGTATACAAAAATAGTTTGCTTTATATATTGAACTTGTATCCTCAATTTAGCTAAAGTTATTAGTTTTAATAACCTTTTCTCTATGATCTGATCATCTGTGAATTCCTATCCAATATGTATGCCTTTTATTTATTTTTCCCACTTTATTGTCTAGGACTTCCAGTATAATATTGAATAGAAGTAGTGAGAATGGATCTTCTTGCCTTGTTCTTTATCTTAGGGGGAAACGTTCAGTCATTCGCCATGAAGTATAATGTTAATTGTCGGATTTTCATAAATCCACCTGTTAGCTTGAAGAAGTTCCCTTTTTTTGTTTCCTAAAATTTTTTTTATCATCAATGTGTGTTGAATTTTGTCAAGTGTTTTACCTGCATGTATTGAGGTGATCATAGGAGAGTATTTTTTTATTGTTAATATTTTGAGTTTACTAAATGTTAAACCAACCTTGCATTCCTAGGTTGAACCCCATTTGGTCCTGATGGCTTATCTACCTACCTACCTATCTTCCTGAGTTTGATTTGCTGATACTTGTCATCTTTTATATCAGTGATTAAGGACTTTTATATCTATGATCCTGAGTTAAATTTTCTGGTGTTTTTTATCTTGGAATATTTTTGCCAGGTTTCATGACAGGATAAAGCTGGCCTAATTAAATAAATTCGGCAGTATTCCCTCATCCATTTTCTGAAAAAAAAATTGTGTAGGAATATTATTTTTTTCTCAAACTTTTGATAGAATTCGTCTGGGCCTCAAGTTTTCTTAGTGGTAAAATTTTAAATTAAGGACTTGGATTTTTAAAGCTTTTCAGATTTTTGTGTCATGAGTCAATTTTAGTAATTTGTTTTTGTTGTTGTTTTTTTTTTAAGGTACTGAATTTTTCTAAGTTATCAAGTTCAGTGATATAAAATATTGCATCATTAGCCTTTTCAGTGTTGTAAGATCTGTAATGATGTCTTCTTTTTCACTACTGATATTTTTAACCTGTATTTCTTCTCTTCTCCTGATCAGTTGAGCCAAAGGTTTATTAATTTTATTGCCTTTTTCAAGTACAATGATTATGCCTTCATATTCTTTTTACTGTTTTTCATTTTATTGATCTTTATTCTTAACTTTATTATTTTCTTCCTATTTATTTTGGATATACTTTACTGTTATTTTATTAGCTTCTTAAGGTAAAGGTTAAAGTAATTGATTTGGGATCTTTTTCCTCTTCTGATGTCAGCACTGACATCTGTACACTTCTACGTAACCACTGCCTTAGCTGTATCTCACATATTTTTGAACTTTTTATATTTGGAAATAATTGTAGACTTACCAGAAGTTGCAAAAATCATAAGAAGAATCTCATGTTCTTATCAATAACCTTATTATTGATTTCTAATTTAATTTTGTGGTAGTCAGAAAACATTTTATTATTTAACACTTTTTCATGTTTTCTTGAAATTAGTTTGTATTCTTCAGTTGTTGGCTGGCATATTCTATAAGTTTCAGTAGAACAAATTGGTTGCTGGTGTTGTTCAACTCTTCTATTCTCTTATTGATTTCATGTCTACTTGCTTTAGTACAGGAAAAAGAGTGCTGTCTTATTTCTACTTTTAATTCTGTTTCATGTATTTTAAAACTTGTTTTTGGGTACATACACAGTAGGATTGTTATATTTTTTGATAAACTGATATTTTATCACTATGAAATGTCTTTGACCAGGCACGGTGGCTCATGCCTGTAATCCCAGAACTTTGGGAGGCCAAGGCAGGCAGATCATGAGGTCAGCAGATGAAGACCATCCTGGCTAACACTGTGAAACCCCGTCTCTACTAAAAATACAAAAAAATTAGCCAGGTGTGGTGGTGGCTGCCTGTAGTCCCAGCTACTCGGGAGGCTGAGGCAGGAGAATGGCATGAACCTGGCGGGTGGAGCTTGCAGTGAGTGGAGATCATGCCACTGCAACTCCAGCCTGGGCAACATAGCGAGACTCCATCTCAAAAAAAAAAACAAAAAAGAAATGTCTTTATCTCCGATTAGTCTTTGCATGGTATATCTTTTTCATCCTTTTTCTTCTAACCTAGTTGTATCTTTATATTTAATGTGAGTTTTATTCATATTGTTGGGTCTTGTTTTTTATCCTGTCTTTGCCTTATAATTGGAATGTTTTGACCATTTACTTTTACTATAATTTTGATACTGTTGGGTTTAAATTTACTAACTTACTACTTGTTTGTTGTTTATTTCATCTGTTCTTTGTTCCTCTTGTTTATTAGTTCTTTCTCTTTTGGCATTCCATTTCTCCAGCCCTGACAACATCACTGTATTATCCATATCTATCATAGTGGATTTTTCTTTTTCTTGATGGATAGATGCTCACCTATATCATTTTAATTCCTCCTTAAGAACTTTCTCTAACTTCTCTTATTACCTAAATTTGCTGGTGACAAATTCAGCTTTTGTTTTTCTGGAAAGTCTTTATTTCTCCTTAATTTTAAATAATATTTACTCTGGAAATAGAATTATAGGTTGACAGTCTTTCTTTTAGCACTTTAAAGTTGTGGGTCCACTGTTTTTTTCTTTTTTGGCTAATTGCTGATGAGAAATCCATGCCTATTCATTCTTATATTTCTGCCTCTGTGCTTAAGGTTCTCCTCCTACACTTTGGGGCCTCAATATGGTTTTCTTTATCTTTCTTGAGTTTTATTAAGCATCTTCAAATTGTGGGTTTATTGCTCTTACCACATTTGAAGTATTTTCTGGCATTGCCTGCCATTGTTTCTTCAAATATTTTTTTTCTTCACACCTTCTTCTCCTCCTCTTCTGGGACTTCTAGGTTATGTCACACTGCCTGATACTGTTCCACAGGTCACTGAAGCTCTTTTTTCCTCCTTGTGTTTTAGTTTGGGTCTTTTCTATTTCTATGTTATACAGCTGTTTTTCTTCTACACATCTAATCAGCTGTTAATTTCATTTATTAAAGTTTTCATTTCTGATATTTATTTCACTGTCAAAGTTCCATCTGACTCTTTTTTATATATCTTCTATTTATCTTATACTATGTTCATGTTGCCCTTTAAGTACTTCTACATATTTATAATACTTGTTTTAAGATCCTTGTTTGGACAGTTCATCATCTCTACCTTTCAGGGTCTGTTCCTATTGACTGCTTTTCCTCTTGTTTTTGGCCATATTTTCTTGCTTCTTTGTAGGTCCAATAGCTTTAGATGACTGTAGACACTGTGAAAATTACATTAAGTGTCTGGATTTTGTCGTTATTTTTTAAAAGAATAGTAGACTGTCTTCTTTCATGCAGATAATTTACTTGTGGATCAGCTTTTTTAAGCTTTGTTAGGTTGGATGTACAGTATCTTTTACTCTACAGCTAATTTAGACCTACTCTTGAGGTATACCTTTCCGTTACCTCTACTGATTGCCTTGGTGGTTCAGGAGGGATGCTCCATTCTGGATGGCCAAAACTCTAATTGTCTCCCGAACCTCTGTTGAGCAATGTGAATTGTTCATCTTAGGCCAGGCACGGTGGTTCACACCTGTAATCCCAGCACTTTGGGAGGCCAAGGCAGGCGAATCACTTGAGGTCTGGAGTTTGAGACCAGCCTGGCCAATATGGTGAAACCCTGTCTCTACTAAAAACACAAAAATTAGCCAAGGTGGTAGCAGATGCCTGTAATCCCAGCTACTCAGGAGGCTGAGGCAGGAGAATCACTTGAACCCAGGAGGCAGAGGTTGTGGTGAGCCAAGATTGTGCCACTGCACTACAGCCTGAGCGACAGAGTAAGACTCCATCTCAAAAAAAAAAAAAAAAAAAAAGTTCATCTTACAGGCTTTTTGTTTTGTTTTGTTTTGTTTTTGTTTCTTGTCTTGCCTCATGGAGTCTCATGTGTTGGTTATTGGTTAGTGTTTGGCAACAGACTGAAGGAATCCCCAGTGCAGATTTTTGGGGCTGATTTTACTTCTCTTCAGAGTCTTTCCATGTATCTCCTCTTCACAATCTCCAACTAACTAAGCCTGCCTGAGCTTTTATGTTTCACCAACTCAGTTATGCTGTAAGGCTCTGCTTATATTCCCCCTCATTGCCATGCAGTTTGAAAAGTACTTTTACTAAGAAAGTTGGGAATTACAGGGTTTATCTTTATCAGTCTTGTGCAGCCTGTTGTCCAGTGTCTGAAGTAAGTTGTTTTATATATTTTTCCAGTTTTCTGGTTGTTCACAACAGAAGGATAAGTCCTATCCTGGTTACTCCACCATGGGCAGAGGCAAAGGTCTCCTTCCTTTTTGTATTTCTTATTTTTATTTTTTTTAGTGGTGGTAAAATACACATAAAATTCACCATCTTAACCATTTTCAAGTGTACAGTTAAGTGGCATTAAATACATTCACACTTTTGTGCAACTATCACCACCATCTATCTCCACAACTGTTTTCATCTTGCAAAACTGAAACTCTGTATCCATTAAACAATAATTCCCCATTTTTCCCTTCCCCACAACCTTTAAAACCCATTCCCCATGTTATTTTCTGTCTCTGAATTTGACTACTCTTGGTATCTCACTTAAGTGGAATCATATATTATTTGTCCTTTTATGACTGGCTTATTTCACCTCTCTTTGTTTTTAAAGGAAGTGTAACATTTGGTCTTTGCATCTAATGTTAGGATGATGGTTTGTAATACTCAAAATGTTCAAGCCAACAAGCTGATATGGTAGACAGTCACAGGGATATACATTGATGGTTTTCTGTAGCAGAGTGGCAGGGGGCAGGGTGTGGGGAAGATAGACTTCTGTGTGTTTTATTCCATAGCTTAACATTTATCAAACCTCATGTAAATCACTATAAACACTAAGAATGGAAAATTAAACTGTAGCATTGCCCATTCATATTTCTCTGGTTTAACAGACATTTTATGAGCACTGTGTTAGTCTGTTTTGCGTTGCTATAAAGGAATATCTGAGACTGGGCAATTTATGAAGATTATGAAGAAAAGAGGTGTTTTGGCTCATGGCTCTGCGGGCTGTACAATCATGGCACCAGCATCTGCTTGGCCTCTGCTGAGGCCTCAGGAAGCTTTTACTCATGGTGGAAGGTGAAAGAGGAACAGGCATGTCACATAAACAGAAAGAAAGCAAGGAGCAGGGAAGTTCCATGCTCTTCTTTAAACAGTTATCATGTGAATTAACAGAGTAAGAACTCTCTCATTACTGCAGGGAGGACACCAAGCCATTGATGAGGGATCTTCCCCCATGATCCAAACACCTCCCACTAGGCCCCACCTCCAACACTGGGGATCACATTTCAATATGAGATTTGGAAAGGACAAATATCCACACTATATCAAGCAGTAAAATCAGTAATTCTCTATCTCTCTTATGAGTTAATCTCAGGTCCTTCCTTACCAATGGCACCATCAGAACCGCATAAATTTCATACTTAATACCCTCTTGATTTAACATATACTTCCACAGGACCTTATTACTTTTTTGTTTGTTTGCTTTTGTTTTTAGAGACAGGGTCTCACTGTCACCCAGGCTAGAGTGAAGTGGTGTGATCATAGCTCATGGCTGCCTTGAACTTCTGAGCTTAAGTGATCCTTCTGCCTCAACCTCCAGAGAAGCTGGGACTACAGGCATGTGCCACCACACCCGGCAATTTTTTTTTTTTTTTTTTTTTTTTGTAGAGATGGGTTCTATGTTGACCAGGCTGGTCTCAAGCAATCCTCCTGTCATGGCCTCCCAAAGCACTGAGATTACAGGTATGAGCCACCATGCCCAGCAACACCTTATTTTTTATTTTTATTTTTTTTTTGAGATGGAGTCTCGCTGTCGCCCAGGCTGGAGTGCAGTGGCACGATCTCGGCTCACTGCAAGCTCTGCCTCCCGGGTTCATGCCATTCTCCTGCCTCAGCCTCCCGAGTAGCTGGAACTACAGGCGCCTGCTACCACGCCGGGATCATTTTTTGTATTTTTAGTAGAGACCGGGTTTCATCGTGTTAGCCAGGATGGTCTCGATCTCCTGACCTCGTGATCTGCCCGCCTTAGTCTCCCAAAGTGCTGGGATTACAGGCGCAGCAACACCTTATTTTTAAAACACTCACGTGTATTGATTCCTGTGATAAACTTCTTCAAGGTATAGTGTCACATCCCTGGAAAACTCTATCCTGACTTTGTAGAGAATCTGCCATTCCATTGCAGTATTATACATATTTGTCTATGATCTCCTGTTACAATCCAATGTACTTGTTATTTTTATATCTCTTCCTATAACCCTAAAAGTCTCTTTCACCTTAGATCTCCTTACTTTGCTGTGTCTAACCCAAAGTAAGTCCTCCGTAAAGATTAATTTAAGGAAGGAAAGGCATCACCATTATCCTCAATTATAGGTGAACTTAGTGACTCACCTAAATCTACATTTATTATCTGCAATTCCTTCCTATTCTTTCTTTAACCTACTGCAATGTGGATTTTGCCCTATTACTCCACCAAAAACAGCTTTGTGGGGATCACCAAAGGCCTCTTTGACTTTGCTAAATCCAGTGATCAAGTCTCAATCCTATCTTATTTGACCTATCAGCAGGATCTGAATCCAGGTCATTGTTCCCTCCTTCTTGAAATACTTTTTTTACTTGGCTTCTAGGATATACCTCTATCCTCTTTTCTCCTAGCTCTCTGATTGATGACACGCAGTATTTTTGTTTTGTTTTGTTTTGTTTCGGATTCCTTCCCCTATCCCAGGCCTCACTGGAAAACCCAGGGTTAGGTTCTTGGTACTCTTCTCTAGCTTACTTCCTTAGTGATTTCACCTGGTTTCATGACTCTAAATAGCTCCTATGGGCTGATGAATCTCCAGTTTATCTTTTCAGCCTGGACTCCATCCTCTAAACTTCAGGCTGCTATCCATATGCCTACCTAACACCTTGATTTGGCTGTATAATTGGCATGTTTCACTTCCCATTTGAAAAACATAATACAATCATCCTTCTGTTCCCCCTAGCCTGCTCCTCCTCATCTTTCTCTATATCAACTGATGGCACGCCATTCTCCTGCTTGTCAGTCTAAAACCCTGGGACTCTTTTCTTCCTCTCATACTACATACCTCATATATCAGCAAATTCTACCTGTACTTTCTTCACATTATGTTCAGGGTCCAGCTACTTCTTACCACCTCCACTGCTATCACTCTATGGCCATATGCCACCATTATTCTTCACGTGGATAAGTGCACTCAGTTTTTAATAGGTCTTCTTGCTTCAGTTTTTGCCTGGTTACAGGCAGTCAGTCCCATACTAGTCAGAATGATCTTTCTGTAGGTTAACTTCCACTTCTGGGAAGATGGAGTAGATGTGCTTTCTGTATTCCTCCCACTAAGCATAATTGAAAACACTGGACATTATATATAAAACAATCATAGACTCTGAAAGATGACTAGAGGAAGGCAGACCAGCTAGAGACCGTGCGACCCAAGGAATGACATGATAGTGAATTCCCTGGGTGTTCATAGTACCATAAATATGAATGGATGTTGGGTGGGAGGGGGAAGAAGCCCCAACAAAAGCATGTTTTACCTAGTTTTGACCAGAAAAGGGACAGCCTAGCAAGACAGAAAACTTTAACAAAATAACTGCTCACTCCAGACAAACCCACAGAAATTTTTAGCTATTGTTTCTTCAAGTACTTTTTTCAGCTTTGCTCTTCTTCTCCTCTTCTTCTTGAAATGTGATGACATGATTCTTAGCAATTTTTTTCATAGCCCCCCAGATTTCTGAGCCTTTGTTCTTTTTTGGTCTATATTATATCTGTTATTATAGATATAATAATTGGATATAAAAATTGGATAATTTCTAATGTTCTATCTTTCATTTCACTGATTCCTTCCTCTGATCTCTCCATCCATCCATTGAGTTTTTTATTTTGGTTATCATATTTTCCAGAAGACAAAAGAAGAGGAAAAATTTCTGAATTCATCTTACAAAGTTAGTATTACCCTGACACCAAAACCAAAAAAGACATTACCAAAAGAAATAAAAATACAGACCTACATCCCTCATGAATATAGATGCAAAATATCCTTAGCAAAGTATTAAAAAATGGAATTCAGCAATTCCCTGACTTACAATGGTTCAGCTTATGACTTTTTTATTTTATGATGGTGAAAAAGTCATATGAAACCATGAGGTTTCAGACTTTTAGCAAGAGTGATTCCTTGACCAAAGACCAGGTTGCATTTTTCACTTACGACACTTTCAATATACAATGGGTTTATCAGGATGTAACCCCATCCTAAGTCAGGGAGCCTCTGTACAAAGAATTGTGCAGCATGACCAAATGGGGTTTACTCCAGGAATGGAAAACTGCTCCAGTATTTGAAAATCAATTAATGTAGTACTTCATATTTACAGGCTAAAGAAGAAAAATCAAGTAATCCTATTGCTCAATGTAGTGAAGCATTTGACAAAATCCAACATCTATTTGTGATAAAACCTCTCAGAAAACTAGAAATAGAGGCTGCTATGGTCTGAATGTCCCCTAAAATTAATGTGCTGAAACTAAATCCCCATTGTAGTGGTGTTAAGAGTGGCACCTTCTGGGAAGTGATTAACTCATCAGGGCTCTGCCCTAATAAATAACGTCTTATAAAAGGGGTGGCGGGGACTAGCTTAGGCCCTTTTTTGCCCTCTGCCTTCCGCCATGTAAGGACGCAGCATTTGCCCCTTCTGCCATGTGAGAATGCAGCAAGAAGGCTCTCACCAAATACCAAATGCTGGGACCTTGATCTTGAGCTTCCCAGATTCCCAAACCATGGGAAGTAAATGTCTATTGTTTATAAATTACTAAGTCCAGGTATTTTGTTATAGCAGTACAAATAGACTAGGACAGAGAAAAAGGTATTTAACTTGATAAATATCATCTACACAAATCTACAGCTAGCATCATACTTCACAGCAAAATAGTGAATGATTTTCCCCTAACATCGGGAACAGGACAAGGTTGCTCACTTATATTCCACGTAGTGCTGGAAATTCTAACCTGTGTAATAAGGAAATAAATAAAAGACCTAGAGATCAGAAAAGATAAACTAAATTGTCCAAATCTGCAGGTGACTTGATTATCTAAAAAAATCCCAAGGAACCTACCAAAAGCTTCTAGAATCAATGAGTTCAGCAATGTCATAAAACTAAAGATAAACACACAAAAATTCATTTTATTTTTGTATATTATCAATGAACACATGGATACTCAAATTAAAAATATAATAAAATCCCTGAAAATAAACACACACTTAGGTGTAAATCCACCAAAACGTGTAGAAATTTTATGCTGACAACTACAAAACACTGAAGAATTAAAACAAATATATCTAAATAAATGGAGACATACTAAGTTCATGGATAAGAACATTCAGCATAGTAGAGATATCAATTTTCCCTAAATTATTATACAAATTTAATGCAACTTTCATTAAAATTTCATCAAAAATGTGTGTATATATAGAGAAGTTGGTTCTAAAATAAATATGGAAAAGCAAAGAAACTAGAATAACTGAAACATTTTTTACAAGAGCAAATGAGAGAAATCTCTACCCAATTTCAAGACTTACAGCCACAGTAGCCAAGATTATGTGACATTGTCAGAAGGATGGACATGGCAATCAATGGAACGATATAAGAAATCCAGTATGGAAAATACTATAGAGAACCACAGAAAGGTGCCCAAATGATTTTGGAGAAATGAGTTTCTCAAATGATTTGGAGAATTGCAAAGGCAACTGGTGAGAGGATAGACTTTCCAAAAAATGATGTAAGAGCAATCAAATATCCATAGGCAAAAGCATGAACTTCAATCTAAGTCTCACACCTTACAGAAAAATTAACTGAAAATAAATTGCACACTCAAATATAAAATGTAAAACTATAAAACTTAGACAGAATAGAAGGAATCTTTGTGATCTACGGCTAAACTTAACACCAAACATGATTCGTAAGAACTGATAATATGCACTTCATCAAAATTAAAAATATTTTATCTGCAAAAGCCCTGATTAAGAGGATTAAGAGCAGATACAGGATGGGAGACATATTTGCAAATGTGATAAAAGACACATATTAGAATATAGGTATATCTCAGAAATACTGTGGGTTCATTTTTCAGGTACCATAATAAAGCAAATATTAAATTAAAGCAAGTCACATGAATTTTTTCATTTCCCAAGGCATATAAAATTTATGTTTACACCCTACTGTAGTCTATTGTGTGCAATAGCATTATGTCTAAAAACAATGTACATACCTTAATTTTAAAAATACTTTATTGCGGCCAGGCGTGGTGGCTCACACCTGTAATCCCAGCACTTTGGGAAGCTGAGGTGAGTGGACCACTTGAGGTCAGAAGTTCGAGACCAGCCTGGCCAACATGGCGAAACCTCGTCTCTACTAAAAATATAAAAATTAGCTGGGCGTGGTGGTGCACACCTATAATCCCAGCTACTCAGGAGGCTGAGGCAGGACAATCGCTTGAACCCAGGAGGCAGAGGTTGCAGTGAGCCGAGATTGCACCACTGCACACTCCAGCCTGGGCAACAGAGACTCCATCTCAAAAAAACAACAAAGAAAAAAGTAAAAATAGTTTATTGCTAAAAAAAAAAAAAAAAAAAAAATGCTAACAATCATCTGAGCCTTCAGTGAGTCATCATCTTTTTAGTGGTGGGGTCTTGCCTGGATGTTGGTGGCTGCTGATCAATCAGGCTGATAGTTGCTAAAGGCTGGGGTGGCTGTGGCAATTTCTGAAAATAAGACAACACTAAAGTTTGCCACATCAATGGACTCTTCCTTTCACGAAAGTTTTCTCTGTAGCATGTGATGCTGTTTGATAGCCTTTCACCATGGTATAACTTCTTTCAAAATTGGAGTCAGTCCTCTCAAACCCTGCTGCTGCTTTAGCAACTAAGCTTATGTAATATTAATATTCTAAACCCTTTGTTGTCATCTCAACAATGTTCACAGCATCTTCACTACTAGTAGACTGCATCTCAAGTAACCACTTTTCTGCTTCTCATCCATAAGAAGCAACTCCTTATCCATTCAAGTTTGATCATGAGATTGCAGCAATTCAGTCACATCTTCAGGCTCCACTTCTAATTCTAGTTCTCTTGCTGTTTTCACCACATCTGCAGTGACTTCCTTCAATAAAGGATGGAACCCCTTAAAGGCATCCATGAGGGTTGGAATCAACTTCTTCCAAACTTTGTTGATGTTGTGACCTCCTCCCATGAGTCACAAATGTTCTTAATGACATCGAGAACGGTGAATGCCTCTCAGAAGGTTTTCAATTTACTTTGCCCAGATCCATCAGAGGAATCACCATCTGTGGCAGCTATAGCCTTACAAAATGTATTTATTTATTTTATTATTATTATTTTTTTTTTTTTTTGAGATGGAGTCTCGCTCTGTCGCCCAGGCTAGAGTGCAGTGGCACTATCTCGGCTCACTGCAAGCTCCGCCTCCCAGGTTCATGCCATTCTCCTGCCTCAGCCTCCCGAGTAATTTTTTTGTATTTTTAGTAGAGACGGGGTTTCACCGTGTTAGCCAGGCTGGTCTCGATCTCCTGACCTTGTGATCCTCCCACCTCTGCCTCCCAAAGTGCTGGGATTACAGGCGTGAGCCACCATGCTCAGCCACAAAATGTGTTTCTTAAGTAGTAACACTTGAAAGTCAAAATTACTCCTTGACCCATGGCTTGCAGAATGGATGCGGTGTTAATGGGCATGAAAACAGCATTCATCTCCTTGCACATCTCTATCAGAGCTCTTGGGTGACCGGGTGCATTGTTCATAAGCAGTAATATTTTGAGAGGAACCTTTTTCTGGGCAGCAGGTCTCAAGAGAAGGCTTAAAAGATTCAGTAAACCATGCTATAAAGATGTGCTGTTATCTAGGCTTTGTTGTTCCCGTATAGAGCACAGGCCGAGTAGATTTAGCATCATTCTTAAGGATCCTAGAGTTTTGGAATGGTAAATGAGCACTGGCTTCAACTTACAGTCATCAGCTGCATTAGGCCCTAACAAAAGAGTCGGCCTGTCCTTTAAAGCTTTGAAGCCAGGCATTGACTTCTTTTCTCTAGCTATGGGTGTCCTAGATGGCATGGTCTTTCAATAGAAGGCTATTTTGTCTACATTGAAAATCTGTTCCTTAGTGTAGCTACCTTCATCTATTCTCTTACATATTCTGGAGAACAAGGTACAGCATCTACATCAGCACTTGCTGTTTTACCTTGCACTTTTATGTTACGGAGACTTCTTTACTTAAATCCCATGAACCAACCTCTACTAGCTTCAAATTCTCCTATATCTTCCTCATCTATTTCAGCCTCATAGAAGTGAAGCACATTAGGGCCTTACTCTGGAGTGGACTTTGGCTTAAAGCAATGTTGTGGTTAGTTGCACCTTCTATCCAGACCACTCAAACTTTCTCCATATCAGCAACAAGGCTGTTTCGCTTTCTTATCCTTTGTGTGTTCACTGGAGTAACATTTTTCATTTACTTCAAGAACTTCCTTTCCATTCATAACCTGGTTGTTTGGCATAAGAGGCCCAGCTTTCGGCCTGTCTGGGATTTCAACATGCCTTCCTCACTAAGCTTAATCATTTCTAGTTTTTCATTTAAAGTGGGAGACGTGGCCAGGCGCAGTGGCTAACGCAGCACTTTGGGAGGCTGAGGCAGGTGGATCACTTGAAGCCAAGAGTTGGAGACCAGCTTGGCCAACATAGCGAAACCCCGCCTCTACTAAAAATACAAAAAATTAGCTAGGCATGGTGGCATGCATCTGTAATCCCAGCTACTCGGGAGGCTGAGGCACAAGAATAGCTTGAACCCAGGAGGCAGATGTTGCAGTGAACTGAGATCACACCACTGCACTCCAGCCTGGGGAACAGAGTGAGACTCTGTCTCAAAAATAAAAATAAAAAATAAATAAAATGAGAGATGTGCAACCCTTCCTTTCACCTGAACATGTAGAGGCCACTGAAGGGTTATTAATTGGCCCAATTTCAATATTGTTGTGTCTCAGGGCATACGGAGGCCCCAAGAGAAGCAGACAGATGGAATGGTCGGCTGTGGAGCAGTCAGAACACATAGAACATCTTATATGGGCAAAGTTCATGGCACCACAAAATAATTACAATAGTAACAAAGATCGCTGACCACAGATAACCATAACAGATATAATAATAATGAAAATGTTTGAAATATCATGAGAAGTACTAAAATGTGACACAGAGACATGAAGTAAGCAATGCTATTGGAAAAATGGCACTGAAAGACTTTCTTGATGCAGGGTTGCCACAAACCTTAAATTTGTTTAAAAAAAAAAATTCTGTAAAGTGCAATAAAATGAGTGATGCCTATATTGGAAGGCTGTCAAGCTCACCATGACAGATACAAGTTTTCCACAATTCTAACTTTTGCCTGAAAATTCAATTTTATCATTTGCAACAAACACAGGCAGTTAATTCCTTTGAAGTAACAGGCTCAGTTAGTTCAATTTTCAGACATTTTATGCCAAAAATACAAGTCTGAATAACCATGGTTTGTCTGTCAGTTGTTCTTTAAAGTAAAAACAGTGTTCCATTAAAAGAGGAGCTAGTTTAACTCCTAACCCAAAAAAAGCACAAGTGCTTTTCCTCAAACAATCATTGTAGTTCCATCTGCCAAAGTACATTATGCAAACTTTCAATTCCATCTCACAGAATATTAAAAACACATGTACTCACAGGTCAAAATTTAATAAAATTAATCATTCCTACGACTTCATCAAGAACATTCTTAAATGTTGTTGGCTTTTTGTATGCGAGTGGGTGACAGTGAAGAGTATGATGACTGTCAGTAGAGTTTGGTGCCATGGTCTTGATTTGTGTCAAAGCACCTGCCATTGCTTTTACACCATCAGTGCAAATGTCCACACAGTGAAAAAGGAAAGAATGGCTCCATATCATTATGAAAACAGTTTTGACCTTATGAGCCCCCTGAAAGGTTTCCAGGGAGCCCGAGACTCCACAAATCACAGGAGATTTTACAGGCTTACTGTGGTTGCTATGGCATAAAAAAAGAGGTGAAAAAAGAGGGTTTGAGGCCCCGCTCTGCTTTCACTGGCACTGCAATACGCCTAGTGCTCCCAGCCCTGAGCCAACCAGGAGTAAGAACCACCATGATTGCTCATCAGCTATTACTGCCCTCAGTGGGTCACATTTTTATCCTCTGTTCAGCAGGAAGTTATAAGCTCCCTTCCGGCTTCATAGTCCAATCTGGTTCTTTGCCTAATGTAGACCACAAATAAGAGCATTTGGGCCTTGCCTGTGGGTTCCCTAGGTGGTACCTGCCTGTCTGTAGGGACATGTTCACTTAAATAAGATCTATCCCTGCATCAAGGACACTAAGCAGACAGGCCCAGCCCAGGACCTCAGCCTCAGCTGCCCAAGAGGTAGAGGGCTCTGCCTCCCCATCATGTGTGCTCACTGAACTGACCTCCACCCCACTGCCCCCACATACTCACTTTTGGAAATGACAGAAGGAAGACCAGGGTCAAAGTCTCCTCAGTAAGTCCTGCAAAGCACAGGACCTCGCCTCAACTATGCTCTGTTCTTCAGGTGGGAAAGTTTCTTGGGATCTTACCACAGAACTCTGGACAACAGAGGCACTCCACAGGCTCCAGGGCATCCCTATCAGCTCAGGAGAAGCTGTGTCCTGAAGATGCGGTGGCATCCAGAGCAAGAGAAATAGAAATGGTGGGTGCTAGGTGGGGGCATGTCCAAGAGAAAGAGGCCCCTGTGGATATCCAACTGAGCCAGGGAAGGGGGAAGTCATGTGGGGCTGGATCCCTGTTCCAGGAGCCGAGGAGAAGAGCCAGTCCCAGCATGGGTCACAGACCACTATGGGAATCTACGGATCACATCTCATTCCAGTGCCCTCATATAAAAGCAAGCTACTACACCTTCTCTCAATATCAGCCTCCACACTAATCATATGAATAATACATGGCTTATCTTTGAAAAAGACTATTAAACCAAAACTTTCAGTTTCCTAAGTGGACCTAGAGAAGTATGGCTACCTCAAGTTTATCAATTTTTTAGTAAGCAACATAACCTACTTCATTATTATTTGTTTAATTAATTAGATAATTAATGAAGTATCCTGTGAAAGGGCCATATATGCAAAGCAATCCTCAAATACCAAAGGAGCCAAGAAACCAAAGAAGGAGACAGAGAAATCCAGTTTGTTGGTATTGGGTGATTTACTGGAGAATGTACAGACAGAATCATGGTCTTGGGCAGGTGCAAACAGGTAGATCTCTGCACAAACCCCCAGACATAGAGTTTATATCTCGGAACGAAAGTATAGTGCTCTGGAAGATATGTGTAGGATGCTACAGTCATCACAGCCTATGATCTCTGCAACAACAAGGGTTGTTTTGAAGAAAACTTACAATGAATTGGTCTTCCTACATAAAGAATAACAACATCAACTAAACATTGTGGAGGTATTATCGGCTCAGGGTTAGTCAGAAGTTACATGGTGGATTTACATTTAAAATAAAGTCACTCTTGAGTCTTGTCTTGACTCAAGTCAAGATAATTCAGTGAAAGACATTACTGAGAAACATGGTTCCATTACAAAATCTCATTATCTTCAAAATTCCATAAAAACTCAAACCAGCAGTCTAGCACCCTAAGTATTATGGTGATTATTAACTGGGTTATACCACAGATAACTGTAAATTGGACTCTCTGTGTCACCATTTTGGATTGTTTCTTTTTTGCTTAAGGATAATTATAAATAGAGCTCAGAACTCTATAGAAGAGCACCCAACTAAGTAAAACTCATAGAGAGACATGCTCACTGGACCTCTCCTCTCTCAATGCTGTAAGTTTCCAAGGCTGGTTTGGGTACCTTATAGTAGAAACACATGGCCTCGGAGGATGAACTTAGTGTGCTAAATAAATCATTTACCTTCCGAAAGTACTTCAGGATGAAATAATAATGTCTTCTCTACCCAGAGAGCTTCACTCTTGAATGTGTTTGCACATCAGTCATCTCATGTTGCTTCCACAAGGGCCCCAGGAGAAGCTCAGGCCAGGTATTCACTTCTGCCTGTCTTCAAAGCAGAAAAAGATTCAAAGCAAGAAGGCCCAGGCACTTCTTGTAGGATACTACAGAGAGAGAGGGATGAGTCTGGGAGTTATCCACATCACTGCAACTTAAATACAAAACTCTTCTCTTCATCAAAAATGTTTATCTTTATATCTCATTTTATTTAAAAAAAACTGAAGTGTCTTATTTTTTCTTCTTGTAAGAAATCAGAAAAGGTTTGATTTTCCAGTGTTAATACAGTTAAAAACAAAAAAGATGAACTGCCATACCACACCTTTGTGACGTCTGCTTAGAAAACTGCCACAAATGTACAGCTTCATTTCCAAACAGTGGAGAGGCGGAGGGAAGTAGAAAATGGGTCAAATAATTAATTCCCAAAGAAAGAGTCTAATCAGAAATTTTCTTCTTTCAAATTATCTATTATTAAATACATATTTCAACAGAAATAAATTAACACAGAATTGGGCTCCTTGAAGAGGGTGACACCATAATAAAAACTGCTGTCAGACAGCTGGTAATGAGAAGACCTATTTTATACAGTGCATGTCATTTGGTGAAACCGTTTACCCTTGATCACCTGAAGGCAGATAATGCACACACCCAGCCTCCAGCTCAGGGGGAAGAGAAAAAGGAATGCCAACTGTCTAGGTCACTGTTACCCATTTTGCTCAGTTGAGCATCACAGAAAGACACGGGCTTAGGCAAAAACTAGCTGGCTTCAGAGAGACAGGAAAGCGTCTAGAGACAGTCCAGAAATATGGGCCTCACAATCCGGGAAAAGCTATCCCTCTGCTCCCCAAGAGTAAGATATGCGACTGAACATGTTCTGAGCAGCAAAGACCCATTAAGACTCCACAATGAAGAGAGGGCTAAACTGTACACACAGGTGAGATTACAGGTGTGTCTCCACCCACACCCATGACTATTGTATTATGTTAAGCCTCAAGATACCCTGGGTAGGGAGAGACACATGCATAAGAAAGCAAAAATATGAAGTAGCTGGAAGACTAGAAAAGAACTTTGGCTATAGTTACTGGCATATGAAACTACCAGACGCAAATAGATCAGAAGCTACTAGAATTGGGGAGAAACTGCATTGCCAAAGAAACATGAGCCTAAAACAGTCAGTGACTGTCAAAACAACCCCAGGCCTCCAAACTTCCACAAGCAGAAAGCAGGCTGTGGGATCTTGCAGCCCCTAACCCCTAAGAAAGATGTACTCCCTATTTTAGTCCATTTTCTGTTGCTTATAACAGAATACCAAAAACTCAGTAATTTATAAGGAAAAGGAATTTACTTCTTACAGTTATAGAAGCTGAGAAGTCTAAGGTCAAGGAGGAGAATCTAGTGAGGATCTTCTTGCTGGTGGGGACTCTGCAGAGTCCTGAGGTGGTGCAGGGCATCACACAATAAGGGGCTGAGTGTGCTAGCTCAGGTCTCTCTTCCTCTTTTTATAAAGTCACCAATTCCACTCCCCTGATAACACATTAATCCATTAATCCATTAACCCATGAATAGATTAATCCACTCATAAGGGAACAGCCCTCAAGATCCAATCACATCTTAAGATTAAACTTCAACATGAGTTTTGGAGGGGACAAATATTCAAACCATAGCACTCCCAAGGCCTAGCCAGATGGAGGGACAGAGAAAGGAGGCCTGGAGGACAACAGACCAGTTTCTCCTGCCCCCACTCCCAGAATAGAAGGTGAAAGAATCAGACACGCCACACTGACCATGATGAATGAAGACAAAAACAAGATTGTGTCAAAATCCCTCTCCCCACTGACATAAGTGATGACTGTTTCTTTACCAATCACAGCTTTAACCTCACTCCAGTCTAACCTCCTTGTAGATAAGATTTACAGACACTCATCAAAAAATTGTCCCCACTTACTGATACCATCCCACTTTCTTGAACCCTCCCCCAAATCACCTAACCAAAGCCCAAATCCTGTAACAGGTTCTTTCTAACGCCCTCTTACCACAACACCCCATGGTTCCCAGGTGAGTGTCTAGTGGCCTTTGCTTAGAAAACATTGATAGATGCCTTCATAATACTTGCCCATGGGATGTTGCTCTAACTGTGGACCAAGAACTGATGTTTATCTTCCATTCTCCCCTTCCAAAATGGAAGTTTTAAAAATTGCAATTGGCTTGGTTTGGCTCCACTATTGTACAGTGTGAACAGCAGACAACCTGTGTGTCAGTTCAGTCATCAAACGACAAGAGCGACAACTGGATTTGATAAAGACCACACAATGCTAGAAATCCATCCTTTGTGCAAGACACAGTAACTGGGGCAACTCTGGATTGTGTCCCTGGAGAGATGAGTGCATGACAGTCGTGAAAGAAGGGTGTGCCAAGGCGAAGGACTGAGGCAGATAACTAACTGTTCATAAAGAACTGTGCTCCCCTTTCCCAGGACAGCATTGAAACTGGGAAGCAACTGTCAACCACAAACAACACACTGCAGATTTCATGCCTGCATCTAGATAGAACCCCATCACTGGATCTTGCCAGTGGAAAGTATGAAGAGATACAGATCATGGTCCTCGTCACTTTTGGGCCAACATGGCTGAGAAGCATGTGTGCCTTCTCCATGTGTGCTCTCTCATCTGCCAGCTGGACTGACAGGAAGCTGGGCCTAGAGGATAAGGATGCCACCTCCGTAGCAGATGGCATGACCACCCACTGTGAGGAGCTGGGCCGAATCACCACACAGAGGAAACCTGATCACTGATGAGGTACATCCACAGTGAACTGTTACATGAGCAAGAAGTAAATTTTACCATGTAAGGCCCTGAAATTTGTGGGATTGAAAGTTAACCAAAATATCCAAAAATTGGGGGGAAGAGATACAGAGTAAAAGCATGAATCAGATACTGAGAAACCACCCCTCAATTTGCACTGGAACCACAAAGGGCTAACCCCTCAAGGTAAAGAATAAGTCCTCAGAAGCAAGTCAGCCCTCCCAAGCACTGAGCCTTTGTTCTACTCATCCGGTTGTCCTTAAGACTACACTGGATTAAGCTTGCTCCTTTAAGAACCTTAGCAGTACCTGATGAAAACCTCTCTAAAAACAATAATCATCCCAAATTATTTCAAATTATTCCTCAAAATATTCTGCAAATACAAATGTCTAGTAGCCTAAAAGAAATTAGTGACCCATTGAGGAAGAAAGAGTAGAAATCACAGAAAACAAAAACATATCTACAAAGACAAGAAGTTGGAATTACCCAACATAGTCTATTTTAACAACTACACTTGTATAATAACAAAAACCCAAACAACCCAATTAAAAATCTGGCAAATGACCTGAATAGACATTTCTCTCAATAACACATACTACTGGGCAATAAGCACAAGAAAAAATGGTCAACATTACTAATCATTAGAGAAAAGCAAATCAAAACTACAAAGAGATGTCACCTCATACCCATTAGAATAGCTATTATCAAAATAATAATAAGTGTTGGTTAGGATGTGGAGAAGCTGGAACCCTTGTGCATTGCTGGTAGAAATGTAAAATGCGGAGCTGCTATGAAAACAATACAGTCATTCCTCAAAAAGTTAAGAAAAGTATTAGCATATGATCTAGTAATTCCATTTCTAGGTATAGGCACAAATTAAGTAAAAGCAAGGGACTCAAATATTTGTATACCCAAGTTCATGGCAGCATTATTCACTATAGCCAAAAGGTAGATGCAACCCAAGTGTCCATCAAAGAATGAATAAACAAAATGTGATATATATATATATATATATATATATATATATATATATATACACACACACACACACACAATGGAATATTATTCAGTCTTAAAAAGGGAAGAAATTCCAACACATGCTACAACATGGATGAACCCTGAAGACAGTACGCTACATTAAATAAGCCAGTCACAAAAGGAAAAATATTTATGACTTCACTTATATGAAGTATCTATAGTAGTCAAATTCATAGAAACAGAAAGTAGAATGGTAGTTGCCAGGGGTTTGGGAGAGGGAGTTATTGTTTAATGTGTAAAGAGTTTCAGTTTTGCAAGATGAAAAGAGTATTGGAGATGGATGGTTGCACAACAACATGAATGTACTTAATGTCACAGAATTGTACACATAAAATGTACTCTTTAAAATGGCAAATTTTATGTTATATATGTTTAACTAAAATTTTAAAACTATAGTTGCTATAGTTAAAAACAGAAACAATAAATTAGAAGCTACAAAAAGTAACAGTTTCAATTTTTTTTAATCTAAAACTGAAAAGTTATAAAGTCATGAATGGGTTTTAAAGCAGATTGAGTGCTGCTGAAGAAAGAATTGGTGAACTGGAAACTAGGTCAAAATAAAATAAAATATTCAAAGTAAAGTGGAGTGGCCAAAATCCAGAAATATAAGAGAGAGCATGAGAATATATGGTGAGAAATCTAACACAAATTTAATCAGAGTCCCAGAAAGAAAGAAAAGAGATGATGCAGAAGCAATAGCTGAAGAAAATGGCAGTGAATTTTCCAGACTTATGAAAGACATCATGTCATAGATACAAGAAGCCAACATACCTCAGGCAGGGATGCATGGAACTTAGTGAAACCACAGAAACCTAAGGATAATTGGAAAATCCTTTATGGCAATAGATTACCTCCAGAGGATAGCAGTTACATTTACTTCAGAACAGGAACAAGAAAAGCCAGATGCTGTGGAAATATATCTCCAATGTGCTGAAAAAAAATAATGCCAACATTAAATTCAATATACGGAAACAAAATCTTTTAAGAATAACATGAGAGTGTGATATCAGTGAAAATAGTAAAGTAAGAACTTCCAAAAATCCCTTCTTTCCCAAAAGCAATTTTTAAATGCCAAAAATTGGCCAAATCAACTTTTTTTTTAGAAATCTAGAAATTTAACCAAAGGCTTGCCACAATCTGGAGAACATTTCTTAAAGAAAAATGGTTAAATATCCTAAGAACATAAATTTTGTAATATTTTAACCTGCCCTATTCCCATCCCCCCACCCCCAACCCTACCCCAGCTCTATAGTAGTCTTGAAAACCAACCACCTACAATCAGAGTGAAAACCAACAGCCTGGCAGCAACAGAAGAGGACAAAACAGAGTTAGAGCTCCTTCAAAGTCTTATTATTTGTTATGGCTAACAGGTTCCACTTGCCAGGTTACATTTATTTGACCTGACACGGAGCTCACTGAAAAGTATTTTCCTTAGAGGTATCTTTCAAAACAAAGACAATTGTTTAATTTTGTGACTACCTGAGACAGTGGACAACAGTTGGAACAAATAATATATTAACTCAAAAGCTTAAAAGGAAAATCTGGGGAATGAGATGCCCACAGGGTATTAAAAACTGTATATTTCTGGAAATCTAGAAGGCCATGGTGCATACATAGAGCTATGCACCTACTCAAGGTTGTGCGAATGCCCAGAAAAGAAACTGGAGTGCCCTGAGATAGCCCTAAGCTCTCACACTGAGCTGACATTGAGACTCTGCACAATCAGAAAATGAAGGCTAAGGCACTTATAAACTGGTAGGTTACACACATGGGGTCTCTTGGGAAAGTCTATGAGACTCACTGATTCCAGGCATTTAAGGAAACGTCTGTCCAATTATTAGCTGACCACTAAACTATTCAAGTACAGAGTCAGTGAAGATACATGACAAAGAATACAGACTTTACAGAGTTAGTTCAGGAAAGTCACTACATAAACAAATGAACAGAAACTACTATAACAAGCAGCAGCAACAACAACAACAAAAAAAATGGAAGAAAGGAGAATCAGATTTCCAGAGTTGCCACATTATATTATTTAAAACATAAAGTTTTCAAAAAAGTACTATGACACATACAAAGAAACAGGAAAATATGGCCCATACACAGGGAAAGAAAAAGCAATCAATAGAAACTGTTCCCAAGGAAGCCCCAGTGTTGGACTTTACATAACCTATTTTAAACATATTTGAATAACTAAAGGAAGCCATGTCTAAAGGATTAAAGAATGGCAGTGTTGTTTCACCAAGCAGATATCAATAAAGAAACAAATTATAAAAATAAACCAAATAAAAATTCTGGAGTTAAAAAATATGATAATTGAAATAGCACATTCATTAGAGTGGTTCAACATCATATTTGAACAGGCAGGAGAATCAGTAAGCTTGATGATAGATCAACTGAGATTAACCAATCTAAGGAACAGAAAGTAAAGAAGTTAAAAAAAAAATGAGCTGAAACTCAGAGCCCTGTGGGAAACCACCAAGAATACCAACAGATGGCCAACCATGGTGGCTCACACCTGTAATCCCAACATTTTGGGAGGCTGAGGTGGAAGGATGGCTTAAGGTTGGGAGTTCAAGACCAGCCTGGGCAACATAGTGAGAACTCATCTCTACAAAAATGGAATGAATGAATAAATGAATGAATGAGAGAAAGAAAGAAAAAGGGAAGGGAAGGGAAGGGGGAAAGAAAGAAAAAGAAAGAAAGAAAGAAAGAAAGAAAGAAAGAACAAACAGATGCATAATGAAACTCTCAGAAGGAGAGAAAATAAAGGGGTACAAAGAATATATGAAAGGATTATAATTGAAAACCTCCCAGATCTGATGGAAAAAATTATACATTCAATAACCTCAATAAGCTTCAAGGATAAACTCAAAGACATCCACACCTAAATATATTATAATCAAACTATCAAAAGACAAAGAGTTGTGAAAGCAGCAAGAGAGTAACTCATTAAAAAGGGATTCTCAAATCACTTGAACCCGGAAGGCATAGGTTGCAGTGAGCTGAGATCGCGCTATTACACACCAGTCTGGAGACAGAGCAAGACCCCATCTAAAAAAAAAAAAAAAATTCTCAATAAGAACAATAGCGGATTTCTCACCAGAAACCACAGAAACTAGAAGGCTGTAGGATAACATATGCAAAATCATGAAAGAAAAAGACTGTCAAACAAGAATTCTATATCCAGAAAAATTATTCTGCAAAAACAAAGGAGAAATTAAGACACTCTCAAATAAAAGCTGAGAGAATATGTCACTAGAAAACCTACCTAACAAGAAACAGTAAAAGGAGTCCTTCAGGCTTAAATTAAAGGACACTAGATAGTACAGAAAATCCAGGTGAATGAATAAACAGCACCAGTAAAGATATAACTATAATGGTAAATATAAAAGACAGTATAAATGTAACTTGTTTGTAACCCTTTCCTCCTACTTGATTTAAAAGATAACTACATACCATCGATGAACAGAAATAGTATTATTTCCTCTTTTCCAAAATGGATGCCTTTTATTTCTTTCTCTTACCTGACTGCTCTGGCTAGGACTTCCAGTATTATGATGAATAAGGGTGGTGAAAATGGACATCCTTGTTTTGTTCCAATTCTTAGAGGGAATGCTTTAGGCGTTTCCTCATTCAGAATGATGTTGGCTGTGGGTCTTTCATAAATGGTTTGAATTATTTTGAGGTATGTTCCTTCTATGCCTAGTTTATTGAGGATTTTTTCATGAAAAGATGAATTTTATTAAATGCTTTTTCTGCATCTATTGAGATAATCATATGGCTTTTGTTTTTAATTCTGTTTATGTGGTAAATCACATTTAATGATTTACATATGTTGAACCATCCTTGCATCCCTGGAACAAAACCCACTTAATTGTGGTGTATTATCTTTTTGATACGTTGTTGGATTTCGATTGCTAGTATTTTGTTGGGGATTTCTGCATGTATTTTCATCAATGATATTGGTCTCTAGAGTTTTCTTTTTCATTGTATCCTTGCCTGGCTTTGGTTTTGGGGTAATACTAGCTTCACAGAATGAGTTAGGGAGAAGGCCCTCCTCCTCAATTTTTTGGAATAGTTTCAGTAGGATTAGTACCGGTTCTTCTTTACACATCTGGTAGAATTCAGCTGTGATTCCATTTGGTCCTGGGCTTTGTTTTATTGGGAGAATTTTTGTTACTGATTCAATCTCGCTACTTGTTATTGGTCTGTTCAGGATTTCTACTAATTTCTTCCTGGTTCAACCTTGGAAGGTCGTATGTTTGGATATGATCTTGTACCTAGAAAGCCCTAAAGACTCTTATAAATGATTCCTGGATTTGATAAATGAATTCAGTAGAGTTTCGGGATACAAAATTAACTAACAAAAATCAGTAGCACTTCTTTTTTTTTAAAGGTGGGATCTCACTCTGTGACATAGGCCGGGGTGCAATGGTGTGATCAAGGCTCACTGTAGCCTCAAACTCCTGAGCTCAAGTGATTCTCCCACCTCAGCCCCCCAAGGAGCTAGGACTACAGGCATGTACCACCATGCCTGTCTAATTTTTTATTTTTATTTTTTTGTAGATATGGGGTCTCATCATGTTACCCAGGGCAGTCTTGAACTCCTGGCCTCAAGTGATCCTCCTGCCTTGGCCTCCCAAAATGCTGGAATTATAGGCATGAACCACTGTACCCCAGCAGTAGTATTTCTAAACACCAATAACAATCAAGCTGAAAACCAAATAAAGAACTCAATTTCATTTGTGATAGCTACAAAAAAATAATAAAATACCTAGGAATACATTTAACCATGAAGGTGAAAGATTTCTACAAGGACAACTGCAAAATGCTGATGAAAGAAACTGTAGATGACACAACCATATGAAAAACATCACGGATGAAATTGGAAATCATCATTCTCAGTAAACTATCGCAAGAACAAAAAACCAAACACCGCATATTCTCACTCATAGGTGGGAATTGAACAATGAGATCACATGGACACAGGAAAGGGAATATCACACTCTGGGGACTGTGGTGGGGTGGGGGGGAGGGGGGAGGGATAGCATTGGGAGATATACCTAATGCTAGATGACGAGTTAGTGGGTGCAGCGCACCAGCATGGCACATGTATACATATGTAACTAACCTGCACAATGTGCACATGTACCCTAAAACTTAAAGTATAATAAAAAAAGAAAAGAAAAAAAAAATTAAAAAAAATAAAAGCTCTTTGTCTCTGAAAGAAATTAAGAAAATATATTTAGCTAATGTTATTATAATTTTAGTCCCCTTGAAATATTCTATCCTGTATATTTGAATTTCTGTATGGTATTATTTTACTTTGTCTTGGATAACTTTTTTTTTCACTTCTCATAGTGCACATTTGCTGGCAATTAATTCTCTTTGCTTTCAATTGAACTGAAAATGCCTTTATTTCACCTTCAGTTTTGAAGGATATTTTTGTTAAATATGGAGTTCTAGGTTGATAGTTTATTTTCTTTCATCACATTAAAAATATTGTACAATTGCCTTCTAGCTTCTATTATTTTTGGTGAGAAGTTGTTTGTGATTTATATTATTATTATTCTTATATTATTATTATTCTGTATATATGTGATTTCTTTCTGACTTCTTTTAGGATTTTATCTTTATTTTTAGTTCAAACAGTTTCACTATGCTATTTCTAGGTGTGATTTATGCGTGTGTGTATTTACTCTCCTTGGGTTTTACTGAGTTTATTATACATGTGAGTTTGTATTTTTAATAAAAGTTGGAAACAGTTAAAAAAAAAAAAAGAAAAAAAAAGAAAAACATCCTATGCTCATGAATTGGAAAAATCAGTATAATAAAATGAACATACTGCCCAAAGCAATCCACAGATTCAATGCAATTCCTATCAGAACACTAATGTCATTTTTCATAGAGTTAGGGAAAACAATCATACAATTCATATGGAACCAAAAAGAGCCCAAATAACCAAATCAAAAAGAACAAGGCTAGAGGCATCACATTACCTGACTTCAAATTATACTACAAGGCTACAGTAACCAAAACAGAATGGTACTGGTATTAAAAGAGACACATAGATCAATGGGGACAGAATAGAAAATCAGAAATAAAGCCACACACCAACAGAAAACTGATCTTTGAAAAGTTAACAAAACACTGGGGAAAAACACTCTATTCAATAAATGATGCTAGGAAAACTGGATAGCCATACGCAGAAGAAAACTAGACCCTTATCTCTCACCATATACAAAAATTAACTCAAGATGGATTAAAAACTTAAATGTAAGACCTAAAACTATAAAAATTCCAGAAAACCTAGGAAAGATGTAGGGACCAGCCCCACAGGGTCGGTGGGTTTTCCTCCCTATGCACAGAGATGAGAGATGGCAGAAATAAAGACACAAGACAAAGAGATAAAAGAAAAAACAGCTGGGCCCGGGCGACCACTACCACCAAGACGCGGACACCAGTAGTGGCCCCGAATGCCAGGCTGCGCTGTTATTTATTGGATACAAGACAAGGGGGCAGGGTAAGGAGTGTGAGCCATCTGCAATGATAGGTAAGGTCACGTGGGTCACGTGTTCACTGGACAGGGGGCCCTTCCCTGTTTGGCAGCCAAGGTGGAGAGAGAGAGAGAGAGAGAGGAGACAGCTTACGCCATTATTTCTGCATATCAGAGACTTTTAGTACTTTCACTAATTTTGCTACTGTTGTCAGAAGGCAGAGCCAGGTGTACAGGATGGAACATGAAAGCGGACCAGGAGTGTGACAGCTGAAGCACAGTATCACAGGGAGACGGTTAAGCCTCCAGATAACTGTGGGCAGGCCTGACTGATGTCAGGCCCTCCACAAGAGGTGGTGTAGTAGAGTCTTTTCTAAACTCCCCCAGGGAAAGGGAGACTCCCTTTCCCAGTCTGCTAAGTAGCGGGTGCTTTTCCTTGGCACTGACGCTACCACTAAACCACAGTCCACTTGGCAACAGACACTGGCATTACCGCTAGACCAAGGAGCCCTCTAATGGCCCTGTCCAGGTGTGACAGAGGGCTCACACTCTTGTCTTCTGGTCACTTCTCATCATGTCCCTTCAGCTCCTATTTCTGTATGGCCCGGTTTTTTCTAGGTTATGATTGTAGAGCGGGGATTATTATATTATTTGAATAAAGAGTAATTACTACAAACTAATGATTAGTGATACTTACATATAATCATATCTATGATCTATATCTAGTATAACTCTTGTTATTTTATATATTTTATTATACTGGAACAGCTCGTGCCCTCAGTCTCTTGCCTCAGCACCTGGGTGGCTTGCCGCCCACAGAAAAACTCTTCTGGACATTGGCCTAGGCAAATAATTCATGACTAAGACCTCAAAAGCAAATGCAGGCCAGGCACAGTGGCTCACACCTGTAATCCCAACACTCTGGAAGGCTGAAGGCAGGCAGATTGCTTGAGCCCAGGAGCTCAGGACCAGCCTAAGCAATATGGTGAAACCCCATCTCTACAAAAAAAAAAAAAAAAAAAAAAAAAAAAAACTTAGGTATATTGGCACATACCTGTAGTCCCAACTACTTGAGAGGCTGAGACAGGAGGATCACTTGAGCCTGGGAGGCAGAGGCTGCAGTGAACCGAGATCAACAATAACAAAAATAGACAAATGGGACTTAATAATAACTTAAAAGTGTCTACACAGCAAAAATAATCATCAACAGAGTGAAGAGACAACCTGCAGAATGGGAGAAATATCTGCAAACTATACATCCAACAAAAGACTAATATCCAGGATCTACAAGAAACTCAAACAACTCGACAAGAAAAAAAAATAACCCCATTAAAAGTAAGCAAACATGAACAGGCATTTTTCAAAAGATATACAAATGGCCAAAAAACATTTGAAAAAGTGCTCAACATCACTAATCACCAGAGAAATGCAAATTAAAACAACAATGAGATATCATCTTACAACACTCAGAATGGCTATTATTAAAAAGTCAAAAAATGACAGATGTTGGCAAGTATGCAGAGAAAAGGAACACAAATGTAAATTAGTACAATCTCTATGGAAAACAGTGTGGAGATTTCTCAAAGAACTAAAAATAGAAATAGAACTACCATTTGATCTGGCAATCCCACTACTGGCTATCTACCCAAAGGAAAAGAAATCACTGTATCAAAAAGATGCTTGTACTCGTATGTTATTACAGCACTATTCATGATAGAAAGATATGGAACCAACCTAAGTATCCATCAACAGCTGACTGGATAAAGAAAATGTAGTATACATATACCAAAAAATACTACTAAGCCACATAAAAAAATGAAATCATGTCCTTTGCAGCAACATGGATAGAAATGGAGGCCATTATCTTAAGTGAAATAATTCAGAAAGTCAAATACCATATATTCTCACTTACGAGAGAATATGGGAGCTAAGTAATATATACACATGGACACACAGAATGTAATAATAGACACCAGATATTTGGAAAGGTGGGAGGGTGAGAGGGGGTGGGGAATGAGAAATTACCTAATGGTTAAAATGTACACTATTCAGGTGATGCTTATACTAAAAGCCTAGACTTCACCAGCATGCAATATATGCATGTAATAAAACTGTACTTGTTCCCTCTAAATCTATTTTTAAATTGAAAAATAAAAATTATTAAAAACAAAACTGTAACAAGTACAGATAACTGTAAAAGCCAGTAATTACAAATCTGTGTTGAAGTGAACAGAATGTACAAGATATATATATATATTTTTTTTGAGATGGAGTTTTCCTTTGTCTCCTAGGCTGTAGTGCAATGGTGCAATCTCAGCTCACTGCAACCTCTGCCTCCTGGGTTCAAGCAATTCTCCTGTCTCAGCCTCCCTAGTAGCTGCAATTACAGGCATGCACCACCACTCCCGGCTAATTTTTGTTATTTTTTAGTAAAGACGGGGTTTCACCATGTTGGCCAGGCTGGTCTCGAACTCCTGACCTCAAGTGATCTGTCCGCGTCGGCCTCCCAAAGTGTTGGGCTTACAGGTGTGAGCCACCATGCCCAGCAAGATGTACTTTGTATGACAATAACAGCACAAAGGAAGAAGGAGGGAATGGAGATATACAGAAGCAAAGTTTCTGTATACTAGTGAAATTAGACTGGTACTAATCCAAACTAAACTGTTACAAATTGCCAGTAGTAAGACCCCAAGTAACCCCTAAGAAAATAAAAAATAGTAAAATAAATGAAAATATCTATTTAACACAAAGTCAGTAATGGAGTAATAGAAAATTCAAAAAGACATTGCATAGAGAAAACAAGAAGCAAAATGGCTGGCATAAATTTCACCTTGTCAAAATTGCATTAAATGTAAATGGATTAAACATTCCAATATAAGCACAGAAATTGTCTAAATGGATTTTTTAATGATTCAGTTATATGTAGTATACAAGAAAGACACTTAAATACAACGAACAAATAAGTTAAAAGCATGGAAAAATATATACAATGCAAACAGTAACCAAAGGAGAGCTTGAATGGCTATATTAACATCAGAAAAAAACGGTCTTTAATACAAAAATTGTTATTACAGACAAAGAATATTTTATAACTATAAAAAGGTCAATTCATCAAGAAGCTCTAACAATTATATACATATATATACATATATATATGTGTGTGTGTATACATATAAAATAAAGCCCCAGAATGCATGAAACAAAAAATTAAGAGAAAAAAGGGAGAATCAGACAGTTCAACAGTAACAGTTGGAAACTTCAAAAGTCCGTTTTCAATACAGGATGGAATGCAAGACAGAAAATCAGAAAGAAAACAAAAGATTTAAACAATACTAATAAACTAATTAGACCTAGCAGACATTTATAGAATTCTCCATTCAAAAAGCAGAAAACACATTATTCTCAAATACACATGGAACATTCTCTAGAACAGACCAGGTGTTAGCCAAGAAAATAAGTCCCAAAATTTTAAAGGATTGAAGTAATATAAAATATGTTCCCCAACCACAAGGGAAAAAAATAGAAATCAGTAACAGATAAAAATTTAAGAAATTCAAAAGTTTGTGGAAATTTAACAATACACTGCTAAATAACCAGAGTCAAGGGAGAAACCACAAGGGAAATTAGAAAATACTTTGAGATCATTAAAAATGAGGCCAGGCACAGTGGCTAACGCCTGTAATCCCAGCACTTTGGGAGGCCATAGCGGGAGGACTGCTTGAGCCCAGGAGTTCGAGACCAGTCTGAGCAACATGACAAGACACTGTGTCTCACAAAAAATTAAAAAATTAGCCAGGTGTAGGGGAATGCACCTATAGTCCCACCTACTCAGGAGGATGAGGTGGGAAGATCGTTTGAGCTCAGGAGACTCAAAGTTGAGGCTGCAGTGAGTTGTGATGGCACCAATGCACTTTAGCCTGGGTGTCAGACCAAGGCCCTGTCTCAAAAAAAAAAAAAAAAAAAAAAAGGAAAGTAAAAGAAAGCACAACATATCAAAACTTATGAAAGGCAGTAAAAGCAGTTCTTACAAAATTATAGCTGTAAACACCTATGTTAAAAGAGAAATATCTCAAATCAATAACCTAACGTTCTACCTTAAGAAATCAGAAAAAGAGCCAACTAAACCTTTGCAAGTGGAAGAAAGAAAAAAACAAATATTCGAGCAAAAATGAAACAGAAAATAGAAAAACAACAATGAAACCAAAGTTTTTTTTTTAAAAAAAGACCAATGAAACTGACAAACTTTTATCTAGAATGACCAAGAAAAAAAGAGGGAAGACTCAATTTACTAAAATCAGAAAGAAAACTACCAACCTTACAGAAATAAAAGGACTATAAAGAAATATTATGAACAACTGATGGCCAATAAATTAGATAACCTAGGTGAAATTCACAAATTCCTAGAAAGACAGAAACTATCAAAACTTAAAAAACAGTACATCTGAAAAAAACCTAAAACAAGTAAAGATATTCAGTATTTTAAAAATTTCCCACAAGGAAAAATTAGAAACAGATGGCTTCACTATTAAATTCTATCAAACATTTAAAGAATGAACACCAATCCTTCACAAGGAGAAACGGACACTTGCCAACTCATTCTATAAGGCCAGTATTACCCTAATACCAAAACCAGACAAAGAGATCACAAGAAAACTATAGATTAACATGTCTTAAGAATACAAACTTAAAAATCCTTAACAAGGCTGGGTGTGGCGGCTCATGTCTGTAATCCCAGCATTTTGGGATGCCAGGGCAGGCAGAGCACTTGAGGTCAGGAGTTCAAGACCAGCCTGGCCAACATGGTAAGACCCTGTCTCAACTAAAAATTCAAAAATTAGCCATGCATGGTGGCACGCACCTGTCATCCCAGCTACTCAGGAGGCTGAGGCAGGAGAGTCGCTTGACTCCAGGAGGCAGAGGCTGCAGTGAGCTGAGATCGCACCTCTGCACTCCAGCCTGGGTGACAAAGTGAGACTCCATCTCAAAAAATCCTCAACAAAACACTTGCAAAACCGAATCCACCAATATATAAAAAGGATTATATGCCATGACAAGTGGGATTTATCTAGGGAATTCAAAGTTGGCTCAACATACAAAACTGAATCAATGTAATACATGACATTAATATAATAAAGGACAAAAATAACAGTATAGATGCAGGAAAAGCATCTGACAACATTCAACACGCTTTCATGATAATAACACTCAACAAAATAGGGATAGAAGGGAAATTCCTCAACCTAATTAAGGGCATCTATAAAAATTCACAGCTACCTATACTTACTGGTGAGAGGCTAAAAGCTTTCCCCCTAAGATAAGGAACAAACAATGATGTCCACCCTTGCCACAACAATTAAACATTGTGTTAAAGCTTATAACCAGGGCAATTACATGAGAAAAATTTTAAAAAGGCATGCAGATTAGAAGCAAAGAATTAAAAGTATCTATATCTGCAGATAATATAATCTTGCATATAAAAAATCCTCAGGAATCCACTAAAAAACTATTATAGCTACTAAATCCTATGCTCATGGATTGGAAAACTTAATATTGTTAACCTGACAATACTCCCCGAATTATCTACAGATTCAATTAATCCCCATCAAAATTCTACCTGCCTTTTTTTTTTTCCAGAAAGTGACAAACCAAACCTAAAAATCATATGAAAATGCAAGGGACCAGGAATAACCAAAATAAATAAAAAGACCAAAGTTGAAGGACTCACACTTTCCAATCTTAAAACTTACTACAAAGCTACAATAATCAAGACTGTGTGCTGCTGGCATAGAGAGAGACATATAGGTCCATGGAATAGAGTTGAGAGTTCAGAAATAAACCCATATTTTATGGTCAACTGAGTTTTGACAGAAGTGCTAAGGCCATTCAATAGGTAGTCTTTTGAACAAATGGTACTAGGACTAGACAGCCACAGGCAGAAGAATGAAGTTAAACTCCTCCTTCATACCATAGACAAAAATTAACTCAAAACGCACCAAAGACCTAAATTTCAGAGCTAAAACTATAAAACCCTTAGAATAAAACGGAGGTGTAAATCTTTGTGACCTAGGATTAAGCAATGTCTTAAATATGACAAAGCACAAGCAACAAAAGAAAAAAATAGATAAATGCAGTATTACCAAAATAAAAATCATTTGTGCATCAAAGGATACTATCAAGAAAATGAGGCTGGGCACGGTAGTTCACACCTGTAATCCCAGCACTTTGGGAGGCCGAGGCAGGTGGATCACGAGGTCAGGAGAGCGAGACCATCCTGGCTAACACGGTGAAACCCTGTCTCTACTAAAAATACAAAAAATTAGCCAGGCGCAGTGGCGGGCACCTGTAGTCCCAGCTACTCGGGAGGCTGAGGCAGGAGAATGGCATGAACCTGGGAGGCAGAGCTTGCAGTGAGCCGAGGTTGCGCCACTGCACTCTAGCCTAGGCGACAGAGCAAAACTCTGTCTCAAGAAAGAAAGAAAAGAAAATGAAAAGACTACTCACAGTTGGAGGGAAAATATTTGCAAATCATATACCTGATAAGGGACTAACATACAGAATACATAAAGAACACTTACAACTCAGCGATAAAAAGACAATCCAGTTTTTAAATGGGCAAAGGATTTATTTATTTTTGTTTTTGTTTTCAGCTATTTTTTTTAATTTATTATACTTTAAGTTCTGGAATACATGTGCAGAACGTGCAGGTTTGTTACACAGGTATACACATGCCACGGTGGTTTGCTGCACCCATCAACCCGTCATCTACATTAGGTAGTTCTCCTAATGCTATCCCTCCCCTAGGCCCCCACCACCGACAGGCCCTGGTGTATGATGTTCCCCTCCCTGTGTCCATGTGTTCTCATTGTTCAACTCCCACTTATGAGTGAGAACATGCGGTGTTTGGTTTTCTGTTCTTGTGTTAGTTTGCTGAGAATGATGGTTTCCAGCTTCATCCATGTCCCTGCAAAGGATATGAACTCATCCTTTTTTATGGCTGCATAGTATTCCATGGTGTATATGTGCCACATTTTCTTTATCCAGTCTATCACTGATGGGCATTTGGGTGGGTTCCAAGTCTTTGCTATCGTGAACAATGCTGCAATAAACATATGCATGCATGTGTATTTACAGTAGAATGATTTATAATCCTTTGGGTATATACCCAGTAATGGGATTGCTGGGTCAAATGGTATTTCTGGTTCTAGATCCTTGAGAAATCGCCACACTGTCTTCCACAATGGTTGAACTAATTTATACTCCCACCAAAAGTGTAAAAGCTTTCCTATTTCTCCACATCCTCTCCAGCATCTGTTGTTTCCTGACTTTTTAAGGATTGCCATTCAAACTGGTGTGAGACGGTATCTCATTGTGGTTTTCATTTGCATTTCTCTAATGACCAGTTATGATGAGCATTTTTTCATGTGTCTGTTGGCTGCATAAATGTCTTCTTCTGTTCATATGCCTTGCCCACTTTTTGATGGGTTTTTTTTTCTTGAAAATTTGTTTAAGTACTTTGTAGGCTCTGGATATTAGACCGTTGTCAGATGGATAGATTGTAAAGACGTTCTCCCATTCTGTAGGTTGCCTGTTCACTCTGATGATAGTTTCTTTTGCTGTGCAGAAGCTCTTTAGTTTAATTAGATCCCATTTGTTAATTTTGGCTTCTGTTGCCATTGCTTTTGGTGTTTTAGTCATGAAGTCTTGGGCAAAGGATTTAAATAGCCATTTCTCCAAAGAAAAAACAAAAAGGGCCAATAAGCAGTACATAAAAAGGGCTGAATACCATCAGTCACTACAGAAATGCTAATTTATACCACAATATCTACTACTTCCCACCCACTACATGGCTATAATCAAAAAACTGGAAAATAACAAGTGTTTGAGAGAATAGAATGTGCAGAAATTGGAACCCTCATAAATTACTGATGGGAATATAAAATGGTGCAGCATTTTACATTCCAAATTGTTTGGAATTTTACATTGCCAAATTGTTTCCCGAAGATGTTGCAGCATCTTCGGGAAACAATTTGGCAGTTATTCAAAAAGTTAAACAGAGTTACTGTATGACTCAGCAATTCTACTTCTAGTGTAAACCAAGACAAGTGAAAACATATATTCATATGAAAACTCGTACTACTGTTCATAGCATGTTGTTCATAACAGCCAAAAAACAACCGAAATGTCTATCTACTGATGAATGGATAAACAAAATGCCATATATCGATACAACTGAATATTAGCCACAAAAAGGAATGAAATACTGATACATACTACAACATGGATAAAGCTTGAAAATGTTATGCAAAGTGAAAGAAGCCAGACACAAAAGGCCACATACTATATAATTCCACTCATATGAAATTTCCATAATGGGCAAATTCTTAGAGATGAAAACTAAATTCACAGTTGCCAGGGCCTTTGGGGAGGAAGAAACAGGTAGTTACTGTGTATGAGGTTTCTTTTTAAAGTGAAGAAAATGTTCTGGAATTATGTAGTAATGACAGTTGCATGACCTTGAAAATACACCAAAAAACACTCAATTGTAAACTTTAAAAGGGTGAATTTTATAGTGTGTGAATTATATCCCACAAAACGTTTAAGTAAATTGAAAGAATTTGTTAAAAGATGAAATAAAAATATTTTTAGATTAAAAAATATGTAATGTTGGCCAGGCGCGGTGGCTCACGCCTATAATCCCAGCACTTTGGGAGGCCAAGGTGGGCAGATCACGAGGTCAAGAGATTGAGACCATCCTAGCCAACATCGTGAAATCCTGTCTCTACTAAAAATACAAAAATTAGCTGGGCGTGGTGGCGTGCACCTGTAGTCCCAGCTACTGGGAAGGCTGAGGCAGGAGAATCACTTGAACCTGGGAGGTGGAGGCTGCAGTGAGCTGAGATCACGTCACTGCACTCCAGCCTGGCAACAGAGCAAGACTCCATCTCAAAAAAAAAAAAAAAAAAAAATGCAATGTCTACATCAGCTGACCTGCAATAAAGGAATTTCTAAAGAGGGCCCTTTGGGCAGAAATGAAATCATCCCAGAATAAGTTAGAAATGCCAGGGAGCAATGAAGAGCAAAGAAAAGACAAGTATCTGAATAAATCTAAATGAACACTAACTGTTAATATTACTGTTAATACAATACTGTTAATGTTACCAGTAATAATACTATTAATACCAATATTGTTAATATAATACCGTTAATATTAATTTATTTCACTGAATTTAAAAAGAATATATAGAATTAAAGTGCATAATAATAAGCACATATGAATCTGGAGGGGGGTCATAGAGTTCAAGTCTTCTAAGAAACTATGATCTGTCTAGGAGAAAGATAAAGGTATAACTACATTATCTGGATAAGTTAGTAACAATTTACACAATAACCACTAAAAGAACAAAAAATAGGACAATCTCCAAACTACTGGAGAAGGTGGAAAAATGGAATGATTTTTTCAAAAAATCACATTATCAGATTAAAATAATGCAAGAAAAGAGAGAAAAATAAACACAGAAAATGTAGGACAAGACAAATACATAATAGAATCGTAAATTTAAACCCAAATAGATCAGTAATTACATTTAATGTAAATGAACTGTTCCAATTAAAAGACAAAGACTGTCAGATTGAATGAAAAAAATATCTAACTATACTCTTTGCAAGAGACATACCTAAAGCATAAAACTATAGTAAGGTTGAGAATAAGATAAAAAACAAAGATAGTATGTAAATATGAGCCTAAAACATCTAGCATGGCTATGTTAATATTAACATCAGACATACCATATCATAAAGTCAAATATTAATTACTAGATATAAAGAGAACCAGTCATAATAATTAAAGTCTCCATTCATCAGGAAGACCTAATAGTTTTAAATCTGTGTGGCCCTGACAACACAGTCTCAAAAATTTATACATAAAAACTGGCAGAACTGCTAGAAAAAATAAGACAAATCCATAATCATCATGAAATTGTGTAATTATCTCAGTAATGAATATAACAACCAAAAAAAACTAGTAAGAAAGCAGATGTAACATGCTTACCAACTCAGCTAAACAGAATATTTAGTATAGTACATTGAACCCAATTATTTCCAGGCACATAGGAATATCTGAGAAAACTTACATACCATATTCTGGGCTACAAGGCAAATCAGCATATTTCAAAGGATTAAAATCATAGAAAGCAGGATCTTTGGGCAATATAATTTTGCTGAAGAATAATAAAACAAGAAAATATGCATATGTTTAGAAATGTTTAAACGTTCTTCTAAATTACCTAGGAATCCAAGAAAAAACCATAATGGAAATTAGAAAGCATAACAAACAATAATGAAAATGCCTTAGATCAAACTTTGTATGATGTAGTTGAGGCATTGTTTACAAGAAAATATATCACTTTAAACACACATATTAGAAAAAAAGGAAAAGCTGCAAATTAATAAATTAAGCATTCATCTCAGATTAGAAAAGAGAACAGCTATAAGAAAGGAAAATTACAAGCCAATTTCACTCACAGGCACAAATGCAAAAACTCCAAACAAAATATTAGTCATCAGGGCGGGCGTGGTGGCTCACACCTATAATCCCAGCACTGTGGGAGGCCGAGGCGGGCAGATCACCTGAGGTCAGGAGTTTGAGACCAGCCTGGCCAACATGGTGAAACCCCGTCTCTACTAAAAAATACAAAAATTAGCCAGGCGTGGTGGAACGTGCCTGTAATCCCAGCTACTCTGGAGCCTGAGGCATGAAGAACTGCTTGAACCCGGAAAGAGGAGGTTGCAGTGAGCCAAGATCATGCCACTGCACTCCAACCTGGGCAACAGAGCAAGACTCCGTCTCAAAAAAAAAAAAAAAAGCCATCAGAATCCAGTCACATATTTTAAGAATAAGCTGGCATGATCAAGTTATGTTTAAATAGTAGTCATCTGTGGGTAGTAGAATTATCAAGATTTTATTCTGCTTTTTATGCTAATCTTTCCTTTAGAAATTTTCTACACAAACATCCATTACTTTAGGGACCAGGAAAAATATTTTTGAATTAATCATTAATATTCTGATCTCTCATCTTTTTGAGATCAACTAATTAATAAATGGCAAGAAGAAAAGAACAAGGGCTGGCTCAGAACAGCCATTCTGTCTGAATAATATAAGGATACAAGGCTTTATTTGTCTCAGTGTCTCTACTGGGTTGACTGAGAACAAAGAAAGGGTGAATAGGAGTAGAAAAGGATTTACAAAGATAGGAATGTGATAATAGCAATTTGTAGGCTTTTCCCCAAACATTAAAGGAGCGATCTCATACACAAATGCGTCTATAAATAGAATCCATATTGCACTTTAATGAATAATTTAAAACCACTCTGCAAACAGGGTTAAGAAAACAGGAACCTAGATGCTCAAAAATCAATAGTTCTGTCCTATCCCAACCTGGTGAGTTACAGAAACAGATGTCTAAGTCTTACATTATTTTTTAGAAATGTTGGAAAATAGATGGTTAGGTAGAAAAGGACTTAAAAACATTTACAACCTTTGAGCTAATAGTTCTACCTTTAGAAATTTAGAAGCAATCAGTGATACGCACAATGATTTTTGTATAGGATATTTTTCAAAGCATTATTTATCATGATGAGTATTTTAAAGCAACATAAATGTCTAGCTATAGGGAAATGGTTCAATAAACTGGGACACTCTTTGGAATAGTATGCAGCCATTTGAAATCATATTTTAGAAGAACACATTATGAGACAAGGAAATGCTCATGATCTAGTAAAAGGAAAAATATTGGTTCAAAAAACATACTTTGGAATGAATCCCAACTTTAGGATATGCATATCATACATAAATACAAGTAGGAAAAAACACTGAATATCCTTTTGTGCTAAGATTAAGGATAATGTTGATCTTCTACTTTATAATTTTCTGTTTCTTCCAATTTTTCTACACAAAACATTTGTATTACTTTTATAAATAGAAAAAACGTTGTATAAAAGAAAATAAATAATAAGCTGGTTACCTTAAATAGAGTCGAACACCCTTCATCAACCCAAATCCACTTCTAAGGGGAGGTCAGTAGAGATCAGTACATCAGTTTTCTATTGCCACATAACAAGCTATCACAAATTTAACACCTTAAACCAATATGTATTTAATATCTCACAGTTTCTGTGAGTCACGAATTTAAGCAGGCTTAACTGGGTCCTCTGCTTAGGGTCTCACAAAGCTGCATTCAAAGTGTTTGCCAGGCTGTGTTCTCACCTGAAGCCTTGACGGGAAGAATCTGTTCCCACGCTCACTCAAGATTATTGACAAAATTTGTTTCCTTGTGCTATTGGACTGAGTGCCCCCTGCTTCCAGGATGAGGAAGATTCTACCACCCCGCCCCATCTGAAATTAGGTATGGCCAGAATGACTCCTTCTGGCCAATGAAATGTGAGCAGAATGGACTAGCGACCCTTCCAAAGTGATTAATTGCTACTGCAAGTGTCTCCATATTTAAAAAGGTCCAGATCCAGACCATTTAAGAATCGATTTTGCCAAATTTCCAGGAAATAAAAATTCCTCCCTTTCCAAAACTATGACATTTGGGAGGCCAAGATGGGAGAATTTCTTGAGCCCAGGAGTTGAAGACCAGCCTGGGCAACATAGCAAGACCCTTATTCTACAAAAAGAAAATTTAAAAATTATCTGAGCATGGTGGTTTGCGCCTATAATCCCAGCTAATCAAGAAGTTAAGGCAAGAAGATCACTCGAGTCCAGGACTTCAAGGCTGCAGTAGGATATGATAGCACCACTACACTCTAGCCTGGGTGACAGAGAGAGTCCCTGTCTCTAAAAAAAAGAAAGAAATTATTACAAAGATGATGAAGTATCATGTTGATACCAAATCTGAATAAGGGTGATACAAGAAAAGATTATCACTGGTCAACACCTCTTATGAATATATATGCCAAAATCCCAAATATTTGCATATTGGGTCCAATAATTTAGGCTGGAGTGCAGAGGCATGATCACAGTTCATTGCAGCTTCAACCTCCCAGCCTTAAGTGATCCTTCAACCTCAGTCCCCCAAGTAGCTAGGACTACAGATGCATGCCACCATGCCCGGCTAATTTTTTTTCTTTGGTTTTTTTTTTTGTAAAAATGGGGTCTCACTATATTTCCCAGTCTGGTTTTGAACTCCTGCGCTCAAATGATCCTCCAGCCTCAGCCTCTCAGTGTTGGGATTACAAGTGTGAGCCACCACACCTGGCCTGGTAATATTTTTTAATGTAGTACATCACAGTTTCTCCCAGGAAATCAATGATGGCTTAAATTAAAAGAATAAAATATCTCATCTCAATCACGATTTTTAAAAAAAGCTTAAAATTATCTAAATAAGTACACTGTATAGAAAACCATTTGAGAAAATTCAAAATCTATTCATGATTTTTTTAAAAAGCTTTTATTAAACTACTAGTAAAGTGATCATCCTTAACCTAATAAAGGAATCTACCAAAAAAAAAATAACAAAGTTCATAATTCAGTCTTTCACAGCATTTCTTTTAAATGAAAAACAATATAAGGATAATCTTACCACAATCTCCATACAACTTTCTCTAGTGGTCCAAGCAAAGGAAAAAAGACAAAAAAAGATCAATAAAAGATTTAAGAACTAGGGAGAAAGAAATTAAATTATCATTAGGTACATGAAGCAACCAGAAACTGATCCATGCATTTGTGAAATCTGATGTGTTTCAGAGGTACCACTGCAGATCACTGGGGAAAGGACTGTATTCAATAAACAATACTGGTACAATTGGTTATGAATTTGGAAAAAATTTAAAATTGGATCTCTATCTCATACCCCACACAAAAATAAGTTCTAAGTAGACTATAAAAAGCAAATATTTAAATATTTTTTAAAGAGGAGGATATATTATGACTGATATGGTTTGGCTGTGTCCCCAACCAAATCTCATCTTGAATTCCCATGTGTTATGGGAGGGACCCAGTAAGCAGGTAATTGAATCATGGGGGCAGGTCTTTCCCATGCTGTTCTTGTGACAGTGAGTAAGTCTCAAGAGATCAGATAGTTTTAAAAGGGGAGTTTCCCTGCACAAGCTCTCTCTCTTCTCTTGTCTGCTGCCATGTGAGATGTACCTTTCAACTTCCGCCATCATTGTGAGGCCTCCCCAGCCACGTGGAACTGTAAGTCCATTAAACCTCTTTCTTTTGTAAATTGCCCAGTCTCGGGTATGTCTTTATCAGCAGCATGAAAATGGACTAAAACAATTACCTTGTAGTAACACAAGATTTCTTAAATCAGACTCAATCACCATAAACTGTAAGGAAAATATTGATAAATCTGACTACATTAAAACTGAACATCTGTTCATCAAAACAGCACATTTAAAAGGATAAAGAACAGGATACAAATAGAATCCAGAATATGTAAAGAACTTCTAAAAAGCTATAAAAAGGATAATCCAGACAATAAGTGGACAAACAATATAAGAATACAATTTTTAGAAGAAGCTCAAGTGGCCAAAGTATGGGTAGAAAATCCTCAAACTCACTAGCCAAGGAAATGCTAATTAAAACAGTAAGATATTTAATATCTACTCAATTGGCAATAATTAAAACATCTGAAGCTACGAAGGATTAGTGAGGATGTAAAGAAACAAACCTCTGGAAAGTAATCTGACAACAGCTATGAGGTTGGAATTGGGCCTAGCCTGTGACACCACAATCTCAGTGGTAAGTGCATACCTGGTCTACTCTTTCTCAAGTGTCCAACACAGAGGAAAGATGACCCAGTGGGACACGGCAATTGGGAGTGGTATAGGCTGTGGAAGCTGCTGAGAGAGACTGGAAGTGGGATTTGGGCCAAATAAGACAATATCAGATGCCAGTCTTACCTAGGAGGTGAAATAGAGAATAGAACTATGCTTATCTGGGCTGAATTATACCCAAGTGGCAGCTCCATCATTTTATCTTCTAAAACCAATCTAATCATGTTATTCCCTCCTTAATTTTGTCAGCTAAGACTGCCAAATGAAGAGACCCAGTTTTTATCGGTTTCTTACTGCTGTTGGAACAAACTTCCAGACACTTAGTGTTTTAATACAACAAACATTTATCTTACAGTTTTGGAGGTCACAAGTCAGACAAGGGTCTCACTGGGCTAGAAACCAAGGACTGCATTCCTTTCCCAAGTCTCTAGGGGACAGAATCCCTTTTCTTGCCTTTTCCAAAGGCTTCCCACATTCCTTGACTAGTGCACCCTTCCATCTTCAAAGCCAGCAATGGCAGCTAGAGTCTTTCTCACCTCACATCACTCTGACACTGACTATTCTGCCTCTCTCTTCTACTTTTAAGAACCCTTGTGATTACTCAGAGCCCACCCAGATAATCCAGGATAATCTCCCTATTTTAAAATCAGCTGATTAGCAACCTCATTCCATCTGCTGCCTTAACTCCCCTGCCATGTAACATAACATAGTCCTGAGATTAGGATGTGGACAGCTTTATGAGCCATTATTCTACCTACCATGCAACTCCTCCTCCACTTTCACCCCCCTCCATCTCCAACAAAGTTCCAACCATTTCACAATGCCCCTAACACTTCCAGCAGGGTCCCAACTCCTTCACTATGCTTCCATACCTCCAGCCTCCACACCACTACACACTCTGTACTCCGGTTATTCCAACCTTCCAGTCTTTTTCTAATAAATGTATACCCAATCCATGCCCAATTATAACTCATGCCCTAGGGTCCAGCCCAAAGGCCACCTCCTCTCTAAAGCTTTCCCTGATTCTCGGCCCAAATGAATTGCCCCTCAACACGTTTGCCTGGTTTTCTATGTATCCCAACTGCAGCACTGAGTATGGCCCCCTGTAATTATCTGTTTACATGTTCCTTCCTCAATCCGAACAGGTGAGCCCTTCAATAAGAACTCTGTCTCATTCCCTCATGGGTTCCCAGATCATAGCATAGGAAATGGCAAACAGTAGGGAATCAGGGAGTATTTCTGAAGCTTGGATGAGGCAGAAGGAAGTTTTCCTGAGTTTCTGTCAACAAAAGAGATGTCAAAGAGTAACCTGGGTTAAGTGTACAACAAATGGGGCCACAGAATCAGTTCAGATGATCATAACAAAAAGCACCTCAACAATCCACTGCTTAGCTTGATATACAACTTACTACCATGTGACATCTCTGTACCACAAGTGACATCTATCTTTTTTGTTTTTTTTTTACTGCTAACCTGTGGGGCAATTCTAAAGTAACTGACAACATTAACCTCAAGAGAAAGAAAAGATTCATGTAAAATGATTTACAAAGATGTCCTCAATATTAGAGAAAAGAGAGTAGATATAGCTCTAACACAACAGGAATGCCTGGCAACCACTCAGTAGCCCAACACATAAACAGATCCCATCGCCAGGAAAGGCTGAGAACCAACATGCTGGAGAATGCAAAACATGCTAGAGTCAACCCTTTTGGGAACAAGTTGCCCCTACATAGATATATGCCTACAGATGTATGTCTATATTGTAATAAAGGTGCTATGATTAGAATATCCCCTCCAAAACTCATGCTGAAATGTAATCCTCAATGCAGAAGCAGTATTGAGAGGTGGGACCTTTAAGAGGTGATTGGATCAAGAGGGCTCTGCCCTCATAAAATGGATTAATCCATTCATGGGTTAATGGATTAGTGGGTTGTCATGGGAGTGGAGCTGGTGGCTTTGGCCCCCGGACCTTAGACTTCTCAGCCTCCATGACTATAAGAAATAAATTCCTTTGCTTTGTAAATTACCTAGTTTCAGGTATTCTGTTATAAGCAAAAGAAAACAAACTAAAACAAACTGGTACTTTCTTAAAGGAATGGTTGTTAAGAAAACAGGGTTTCATTTAATGTCAGTGATTTGTTACTTGATGCCCATACTCAAGCAACAAAACTCCCACCTAGAGAGACAGTGAAGACTAAGCAAAGGAAATTGAATGTTGTAGCATAATTATCCTCCTTAAAAAGAAGAATAAAATGGCGTGTTTTCAAGACACGCTCCCATTCAACATAATTTCCCTGATCAAATTTTATTTAATAATATGAATTCTGAAATTAATTTTAAAGTACACTGGAAAGGAAGTTTGAGCTCCCCCTGCCCCAAAACACACACACACACACACACACACACACACACACACACAGAGAGAGAGAGAGAGAGAGAGAGAAAGAGAGAGAGAGAGAGAGAGAGAGAGAGAAACAGGTGACACGGATTCAGCACCATGGACAGCGGGCCCATGACGCCTTGCCTCTGAGTCACTGCCACCAGGGATGAGAGCTGAGACATCAGAGCTGCCCCAAAATCTACAGCATTTATTCTAATGTTTAAGTTGGGGCAATTCCAATACATGAGCAAGTATTTTCCTTGGTTATGGCCCAAAGCACTGCCTTCTTCACTGAGAGGATACACAACTTACATCTACTAAAATCTGTTTCAGTGTTCACCTTTACAATAAAGCCATGAGACTTTTGTAAAAATAGAAATGATTCTGCCATTGACACAGGAACTGAAATAATCAAAACTGATACACAGAATCCAAATCTGAATAGCTAGATTGGTTCAAGAAGCTCGTGAGGCTTTTTCAAATTTATAAATGCAGCATGCTGTCAGCCTCCTCAGAACAATAGGGTAAAGAATAGCTTCTTCAAAACAGCTAGCAAAATACAACTATATGTTGAACTTTTTCGCATAAATAGCTAAAAACGTAACCACAAAGCTGTGTGGGTTTTCCCCCACCATGAGCATTATAAAGATATCTGGGAAAGTGATGTTTTGAGGTCCAAAAGCACCACTAATCAGCAGCACCTGGGGCAACGCCAGCCAAAAAGCCCTGAATTCTAGACAGAGTCCATTTTTTTCAGTTATAAAGACCCCATTTATCATCAAAACTTTTTCAAAACCTTATAATATTATCAACTAAGAAAATACGTGAAGCTACGTAAGTTCTAAACCATTCGTAATGAACTTGCACTGTATAAACAACAGCATCTACATACAAGCAAAAAAAAAAAATACTGCTCGAAAGTGAGACATCAGTTAGTCGGTCACTGCACTTGTTAGTTTTAAGGCCCCATGTTTTCTGACAGATCTCCAAGCCTGAAAACACCAGAACTATTTCTGCTTCTGTCGTGTGATGATCAATTAGGTCCTTTCAGATCTTGCAAATGATCCCTTTAGAGTGCCACTGTTCTACAAACACTCCTTTTGGGGCCAAAATAGGTATCTCTGACACGCTTTAAGATGATGAATTATTCTTGAATATGAGGAGGACTGGGAGTTAGTTCTCTTAAATAGGGAAGCACCCTTGCACACTCCTTTGGGATCCACATCTGAGAAAGTCCAAAGAAAAGAAAAAGGGCAACAGTTTGCCCCTGAAAGTGAGTTCAATTTCAGAGGGATATGTGAGGGCCTGTGCCAGAGGAATATTTTTGAAATGGGGGGAGTCTATAAGTTGCCCAGTCTAATCTCTAAAGGCCTCTCCGCAAGGCCCTGCTGCTCAAGATTCCTTCTGGCGAATCCCACTCTACAAACACTCAACAACTAAGAGTGCTACTGGCTCACATGGAGGGCTAACAAGACCTGCAAATCCAGGCTGCTCTGAAGGACGGTGGAAGATAACCAACCCCGAGCCACGAGATTTAGGACCCGACTTTTGGTTAACTTTCAAATTTCTTATGCCAGTAATATACTTCAGAGTGGCGCGGAGGGAATTGGAAAACATCACCAGGCAAAAAAAAGAAAAAAACTCTTTCACGAAACAAGACTTCCAATTAGAACACGTGTGGGGACAATAAGAAACACGTTCTAACCACCCCCAAAATTAAAATAAAACACAGCGAGCAACAAGAGAGACCTGCGCGCGCCCCACCGCCCGCGCGCGGCTCTCCGCAGGGTCACCGAGGGGTGAGGCCGCGCTCTCCCGGCGGCCGTCCAGGGGGAGGAGGCCCCGCGCCCCGCCCCGCCGCCCTCCAGCCGCCGCGGCCGCTCCGGGGTGTTCCCCAGATCTCTTCTCAATCAAGAGATGAAATTTGTGCCGTTTTGAAACTGAAGCCTCAAGTAGTCCAGACGTTTTCTGACCCACATCCGAGACGTTCTCGGCTTCCCGCCGCAACTTCCGAATTTGGGGAGGGGGCGGAGGCGGGCGGGCCAGGCCTGGCGACCGCACCTTGAGGGAGCGCGAGTCCCCTCGCTGCCCCGGGCCGCCGCAGGCGCCGGCGGCGGTCGGGGACGGCGCGACCCAGCCCGGGACCCCCGCCCGCCCCGGCTCGGGCGAAGTTTGCCGCGGCCCGGGGTCGCCCCGTCACTCGGCCTCCGTCGGGGACTGGGTCCCCGTAACCCGCAAGGGCGCCCGACCCCGACCCCGCCCGCCACCGCTCACTCACCTGCCCTGCGCCGGACGGCGAGCCCGCGGGCCGGCGGGGAGAGGCCGGGAGGCCCGGGCGGGGTCGGGGCGAGGCGGGTGAGGAGGCGGCGGCGGAGCCTAAGTCAGCCGAAGCGGCGGCGACCGCGGCTGAGGCGGCTGAGGCGGCGGTCGCGGCTTCAGGCGCTCCAGCCCGAGCGCTGCGCGCGGCGCGGGCCCGCCCCTCTGCGCCGCTAACCAATCTAGCGCCGCGCGCCGCCGCCGGCCCCGCCCCCGCCCAAGGGCAGGCTCGCGAAAGCGGGCGCCGCGGGCCAATGAAAGGGCGGAACATCAACCGGCGCGGCCAATCCGAGCCCGGAAAGTTCTCTGGAAAAAGCCAACTCCAGTCAAAGGGGCGGGGGTGGGGCTGGGGGCGGGGCGGGGACCTGGCCCAATGACGCGCGGGGCGGGGCCGAGCATTGGGCGGGGAGGAGGCGGGGCCTCGAACGGGCGGGCCGGTCACTAGTAGTGGGCGGGGTCGTAGGCGGGACATTGAGCGGGCGGGGCAAGAATCGGGGCGGGGGCCTAATGAAGTGAAGCGGGGAGGGGACGGGCAGTGGGAGGGGCAGGTCACATTTGGGGTGGGGTGGGGGCGGGGCAGGGGCGGGGCTGAGTACGGGAGGCCAGGCCGGGGAGAGGCCTAAGTCGGGGCGGGCGGGAGAAGGGCAAGAGCAGTGGGCGGGGCTCGGGGGTTAGGGGATTAGTGCCCTTGCTGGGGCGGGGCCCAGGCTTGGGGCGGGCCTGTGGTGGGCAGGGCCGTGGATGGGCGGGGCGAGCCTTCGTGGGCGGGCCAGGCCTGTGGTGGGCGGGGCGGGCCGTTGGTGAGCGAGACCTTGGTGGACGGGGCGGATCCGCGGTGGGCGGGGATTTGGCGGGCGGGCGGGTGGGCCCGACGGGACGGGAATGGCCGTTGAATTCCCAGCCGTGCCGCAACCCCGAAGGTCCCCCTGCAGCGCCCGCTTCCCGTTCTCTGTGGGCCTGGCCCCGGCCCGGAGGCTGGGGCCGCAGCGCCCGGCGGGCAGGGGCCCCGAGCGGCTCGTGAGCCTGTGCCCAGACGCTGCCCGCCCCGCGCTGGTCCCGCCGCCCTGTCCCCTCCGCCCGCCCGGCGTTCGCGTGCCGTGGCCTGGGGCGGGGCGTTGCTGGGCCCCGGGGGCTGCAGGGGGAGGCCGCCCTTTCTCTGGGCTGGCTCCGGGCTGTTCCGCTCCGCGCCGTTTTCCCGGTACTTCCCGCGGAGCCCGCCTCGCTGTGCGTCCCCGCCCGGGCGTTTCTTCCGCGGCGCTGAGCGCCCGCCCCGGCCTCGGGCAAGGGCAGCCGGACGCCCCGAGGACCAGGGCGCTGGGGCCGAGGCGCGTCCTCCGCAGTCGCCGCGCCTGGGCCCCGTTTCCCCGCGGGTCCTCGCCGGGGTGGGAGGCGCCTCTTGGCGTCCGTGGGGAGCTGGGTGTGGGGGGCGGCAGGGCAGGAGGTGGGGGGGCTGAGCCGGAGAAACGTCCTCGCCCCGCCCGAGACCTCAGACACCCCAGAACCTCGGGCCGGCAGCCAGCTGCAGGAATCGCGCCCTAAAGCCTGGGGTCCGCGCCCGCCCGCCTCCCGCGAGCGCCAGGGGCTGCCGGGTCACCGGGATGCAGCCTCGAGGCGACGTCACAGACCCCACGCGGCCCCCCGAGCACCCCCGGAGCCGGCGCGGGGACAGGGGTTCGGGATGGACGGAACCCACGCAGGGAACGTTCCGGGCCGTCTACGCCAGGCTCAGGGCGGCCGTCAGCTGGGGTTGGAGGTGGGTCAGGAAGAGATGTGTCCTTTTGTCTCCAAATGTCGCTTGTGTCATTAAAAGACAACCTTAAAATAGAAGAAAAAAAAAAAAAAAAAGCCTGGGCTGGCGTGAGGAGGGGCCGTCCGCGAGCTACGGAGGCTGAGTCGGCGGGGAAGGGAATGTGGAGTGGGGCGGGGGGGGCGCTTGGCGAACCCGTGCTTTGGACGCGCTTGGCGGTTTCGGGGAGAATGAGAATGGAGGGGAGGGAGGCCAAGGCCTGCAGCCTGGTGGGAATGCTGGGAAGGACGCTGTGGACAGGACCTTACTGGAAATGAACCAGAAGGGAAGGTGGGCCGGGCGCGGTGGCTCGCCCCTTAATCCCAACGCTTTGGGAGGCCGAGGCAGAAGGATCGCTTGAGCCCAGGCGTTGGAGACCCGCATGGGAAACATCGTGAGACTCTGTTTTTAGAAAAGGAGGAGGAGAAGGGATACTGGGCGGCCTCTGCCACACCTGGACTCTGCGGGCAGGGGGCCAGAGGGACCCAGGGCTGCTGTGCTGGAGCTGGAGCTGGCGCGAGGGTCTGGGCAGAGCACTGTCAGCGCCCCCAGATTACAGGCTGCCAGCCTCCCCCGGTCCTCTGCGGGAGCCTGCGGCCTCAGCTGCCTGCCCCGCCGGCTGAAAGACACAGTTAGTCATTAGGAAAGTAATGATAGTGTTTTCAGGGCAGCGTGTTAGACCCTAAAGACTTTCTATTATTTGCAGTTCCTGCCAACCCTGTGAAGAAAAAAAGCAGCTCATCTCTCACGCCCCGCCTCTTGACACACGCTGATCCGGCCTGGTTCTGGGTTTTCCCGGAGCCTGCAGGGCAGCCCCGCCCCAGGCGGCAGCAGCTGGGCCTGCAGCGTGTCCCTCATGGTGCCCGGCCTCCAGGTCCAGAGTTTCCTGCCTCCCTGAGCTCGGGGTGCGCTGTCTCCACCCTCTCATGGCCGTCAGGGTGCTGGTCCCGTCAGAAGTGCACCCAGGGGCTCGCATTTATAAATAACTCCAGGGTGTCTTGCTGTGGGTTTGGAAATCGGGAAGGCAGGTTATCATCTGCTTGGAATGATGTCAGATCCAGCCCCAGGAAGTCTCCCAGCACCCGGCCTTCCTGCTTGTCATGGGCTGGGACATCTGGAGGGGTAGGGGCGAGGGCCTTCTGTAGCTCCACATTAGCTGGCTAAAGTGTGGGGAAAACAGTAACACACAGAAAGCAATCATAATAGTAATTAACGTCAAAACCTTGCAAGATGTTTAGGCCTCCCAGGAGCCCTGGAGAAGCCCAGCCCTTCCACATAACACCAGCACTCCCAGCGGCAGGGCCTCCATCCCCCTGCTGGGGAGGGAGATCCGGAGTCTGGGTGGAGTGTGTGGTCTCTGGCCTTCAGCAGGACTACACTCCAGGCTGAGCCTTTCCTCAGGCAGAATTCATACCCTTACCTCAGCCTACAACCCCAGCACACATGTTACCTAGGGGCAAATTAGTACTTTGCCCTCATGTCCTCTTCACAAAGCACTGGGGTAGAAGTCCTTCTTCCAGGGACCAGCAGCACCCAGCCCCTGCTTCCCCAGGCTCCTGCCCTGCACAGGGACCGCTGCCACTGCCCACCAAAAGCTGCTGGGGGGTGTTGGGGCTGGCTCAGCTGAGCTCACACAGGATCCTCTGATGGCCAAAGTGCTGGAGTGGAAATCAGAGACCAAGAAGCCAATCCCTGTGCCAGCTGCCCTGGTTAGGGAAATACAGAAACTAAAAATAGTTCCCACTTCCGCTTCCTCCTTTTTATATCAGCCTCATCATAAGTGCACCTGACCTAACTTACCTGGTGCTGTGGTGTTTGTACTTGGATTAGGTGAAGCAGCTCAGGGGTCCCCTCATGCCCTCTCCCCTGTCCCCCTGCTGAAGAGGCAGCTCCCACATGCGGCACTGCCTGACTGGCCCCTGGCCTGGGCCTGGGACCCTGCAGAGAGACAGCAAGCCATGGCCAGAAGGCTTGCAAGGTGCCCCCAGCTTGGGTGATGGTGACACCCAGAACAGGGCACTTCCTGGAAATGTGATCTGGAAGGGCAGTGGGCATGAGTGGAGCATGGAAAGAGACACCCAGGACGGACGGAGAGAGGCATCTGGTGTAGGTGGGGCTGCAGCCACCTCTCCTCTTCGGGGCTGGCAAGGTAACCCTTGCCCTGTGCCCCACAGCTGCCCTGATTTCCGGGTGTCTCCCAGAAGCACACTCTGCACTGCTTCTGCATCCCGGCCACTCCTTCAGTGTCCAGCCCCCTTCCCCAGCATAGAATGAACACAGAGAGGATGGGGAGTGCCTGCTCTGCCGACATGAGGGGCTGGCAGTGACATCTGTCCCTGTCATAGGCACAAAAAGTTATCAATGTTGGTAAGCTGGATTCAAGCCATGCACGGAAGCAGATGGCTCTGCCCCAAAGGGTAAAACATCCTGGAAGTGAATTGGATGGAGTCTCACATAGAGCAGCCCATCGGCTTCTCTGGCAGTGTGCCCTGGTTTTAGCAGAAAATAATCACAGGGTCTCTAATATCTGGCTGTGGAGAAGCACCCAGAACTCCCCCAGTTGCCCTCATGATCCCTAATGGACGAGGGATGGGTCCTGTGTCCTCTCAGCTCTTCACGCTAAGAAGCAAATGAATCCTTGGCCTGCCCCTCAGACTGGCATCTCCACAACTGGGATAGACATCTCAGGCCCTGGGGTCCATGAGTCACTGCTGACAGAGAGAGAGAGAAAGAGAGAGACAGAGACAGAGAGGGAGGAAAGAGCTCCTGCTGCCACCCTGGCGCCCTCAGGTGCCTCTCAGCCCTGGGGAGCAGTCCTCCTCTGCTCTGGGCCCCTCCCCCACTGCACACAGAGCACTCCCCCCTTGTCTTTTTTATATGTAAGTTTTCTTATATTTTGCATAAAGAAGAAATGCACACACCTCACACATGCACCAGAAACGTCACGGGTCATCCAGACCTTCCTTTTATTTTGGGAAGACTTTCAGCTCAGAGGTAGCCAGAATTCCGCCCCTTCTCTGTGTGCCTCAACGGGCACCATTAAGACTCTAAAATTAGAACAACTCTTTGTTTTGGTGCCGAGCCACCACGTCACTCCCACCCTCCCTCCAACCTCTGCTGGGTTCTCAGGAAGAGACTGGAGGGGGAAATGCAAAGCTTCCAAATCCCACAAAGAAAGCCCACCAGCTGCTGGGCAGACCAGCACAGGTGGGGCGTGCTGCAGATGCCCTTGCTTTGCCTACCGACAAGTAACACCTTAAGACTGACTTTATATCCATTTGCTGCTTTTTTATTAGGGCCACCTGAAACCTCTCTGTTGACATGAGTAATCCTCTGTAATATCTGTAGAGTGTAGAGATGGATTTAAACATGTGGAGCTGTTCAGCAGAGTATTCCCGTAAGAGAAAGAGAGTGGTGGGACAGGCTTGGCCCAGCCCACCAAGCCTTTATTTACTTAGGACCCCAAATTTCTTGGTGTCCCACCTCTGCCACAGTTTAGCAAGCACCTGCCTTCCTACTTTACTGGACTGGAAAATAAATACACATGCATTTAGTCTCCCTGCAACCAACGACCTCTGATAAGTGTTTTATGTTGAAAATTCAAGAACATAAATCATGAGAAATACACCATTAAAATGTAAATTAAGGGGGCAAAACCGTCCACTGTAGCTGCAGTCACAAATGGGGAGCGTAGGAACTGAGTCTGGCTCACAGAGGCTTCTTTTTAGCCCCCTCTCTCCCAATTGCCACCCCCCGGACCACCTAGGACTAGGCCAGTCTCTGCGTTTATGGTACCTGGGGAGCCTAGGAGTTTGCAAACCTATGATCAAAGGCTGGGAACAAAGCCAAGGTCAGGAGGGCTTGTGTGTACTGCCCTCTGGCCTCCCAGGTGAACGAGTCAGAAGTCCCACACCCAGAGAACAGGATGCACCCAGCAGGTGGGTTGCCACGGCAGGTTCCCTTCCTCCCTGCCTGACATCCAGATGATGGGGCCTCCTGGAAATGCACAGACGTGGCTCTCACATCTGTTGGCGTCCCTAGCTCCGTCAGCACTGGTCTCTCCTTTCCCGCCCGTTGCGGGTCCCCACTTAAATACTGAAAGGACAGGTGGAGGTGGAGGAGTCTGCTTGTCCACTCCCGAGTCCCGGGGCCGGCCATCGTGGAGAGCCAGGGGCGCTCCAGCTTGTCCACTCCCGAGTCCCGGGGCCGGCCATCGTGGAGAGCCAGGGGCGCTCCAGCTTGTCCACTCCCGAGTCCCGGGGCCGGCCATCGTGGAGAGCCAGGGGCGCTCCAGCTTGTCCACTCCCGAGTCCCGGGGCCGGCCATCGTGGAGAGCCAGGGGCGCTCCAGCTTGTCCACTCCCGAGTCCCGGGGCCGGCCATCGTGGAGAGCCAGGGGCGCTCCAGCTTGTCCACTCCCGAGTCCCGGGGCCGGCCATCGTGGAGAGCCAGGGGCGCTCCAGCTTGTCCACTCCCGAGTCCCGGGGCCGGCCATCGTGGAGAGCCAGGGGTGCTCCAGGCCGCTCCAGCTAGGGAGGCTCTGTGGGGTCGGCCCCACCGCATGCCACAGCTGCCCCACTAACCGCCAGCTCTGTGGCTGCCGTGTCAGCAGCCCTGGCCCACACAGGCTCTCTCCTGGAGCTCAGCAGGTCTACCCTTGCACACCTCTGGCCTAAAGGCCCCCAAAGGAGCTGGTGGCACTCACTCTGCTGGTATGGACACTACACGGAGGGTGCTTGTCAGCTGCTCAAAGAGGGCCTGCCAGAGAGCAGCTTCAACTCCACCCCAGCAGGCTCCACTGCTGCACCCACGCACGATGCTACTGCTGTTCCTTCTCTCTCGGGTCGCTATCCCTCTGCGGCAGGCAGAGCATGCTGTGCTGATCCTGTGAGCAGTCCTGTCCAAACCACAACCACGGTGGAGCAGCAGCATGCCAGCACCGCGGTCCGGGGGCTACTGGACACACGGAGTGGCAGGGCGCTGAGCTCCCCGGCACAGACTGCGGGTGCAGGACGGCACCAAGGACGGGAAGGCTCCAGGCTGGAGAAGCTGTGCCCGGTCACCAGCATGCCCATGGCCCTGTGCCTGGCGGCCCTTTGGGAGGGCTGCGAGGGGGCAGCGTGAATGCAGGAAAGAGGTGTGGAGCTGGGGCGCCACTGCGTGTGTGTGGGGGCCCAGAGGAGAGCAGTCCCTGCTGGCTGCTGGGGGCCAAGCTGAGAGCAGAAATGCACAGCCCTCCCCCAAACAAATGCACACCACACGCACATCGCACACACACATCACACACACACCACACACACACCACATACATACACATATCACACACCACACCACACACACATCATGCCACACACACAACCACACACATCACACACATACACATATCACACACCACACCACCACCACACACATCACACACACATATCACACACCACACCACACCACTACACACATCACACACATACACATATCACACACACATCACACCACGCACACCACCACACACACATCAACACACACCACCACACACACATCACACCACACACACACCACACACATCACACACACCACCACACACACATCACACACACATCACATACACACCACACACATCACACACACATCACACAGACCACACACATCACACACACACCACACACACATCACACACACACCACACACAACACACACATACACATATCACATGCACCACACCACACACACACCACCACACACATCACACACACACCACACACATACACATATCACATGCACCACACCACACACACATCACACACACCACACACGCCACCACACACATCACACACACACCACACACATGCCACCACACACACATCACACACCACACACATCACACACATACACATATCACACACACACACACCACACATCACACACACACCACACACATCACATACACATATCACATGCACCACACCACACACACGTCACACATATACACATATCACACACACCACACCACACACATACACATATCACACACACCACACACACACCACCACACACATCACACACACACCACACAGACGTCACACACACATCACACACACCACACACACATCACACACACACCACCCCACACATACACATATCACACACACCACATACACATCGCACACATTCACACACCACACCACGCATCACACACATTCACACACCACATGCACACACCAAATACACATCACACATTTACACATATCACACATATGCACACCACACACATCACACATATACACATATCACATGCACACGCACCACACATATACACATACACATCACACACATATCACACACATTCACACACACCACACACATCATATGAATACACATACACACATACACATATCATGTGTACATACATCACACACATACACCTGTTTACCACACACATACACGCCACACACATTCACATACACACACACCACACACTGCACACATGCACAAGCACATATCACACATGCCACACACATACATGTATATCACATACCCCACACATTACATGCAAACACATCACACACATATCACACACACCACACACACATACACATACTATGAATTAGACACACCACACATACACATAGCACACACATACGCACATAGTACACACACCACACACATATCACACACATACACACCACACATCACACACATACATCACATACCACACATACATCACACATATACACACCATACATACATCACACACAAACACATCACAGACATACATATCACATACATATCACACACATCATACACAAACATCACACAAATACATATCACAAACACACATATACTACACACACACGTACACCATACACACATACACATCACACACACATACACACACCACACATGCATACACACCACACACATACATCACATACAAACATACATCACACATATACATATCACACGCAACACACATACCTCACACATACATACACACACACCACACACACATACATCACACAGAAGCACATCACACACATACACACTCCACACAGATTCCACAGCACATACACATGCACACACACCGTCTGAGAACTCCAGCCTCGGAGACCCACATGCCCCAGAGGAGACTCGGCTGCATTCCCAGCCCACGGCTCCCACAGCAGCAGCCGGTTATGGAAAAACGTCTCCGTCTTCTGCTGGTCCCCGCCAACAAGAGTGCGATTCTTTGAAAAAAGAAAAGAAGTGAAACCTTGCAAGAAGTTCCCCAGGGATAGCACACATTTTAATGTGATAACTAATTGGCTCCAGCCCTCAAACCAGCCTCTGTTTTCAAACTAGATGGAGCTGATGTCACTGCTTTGGTGGGAAGGGGACGTAGTGGGAAGGAGGGGACAGGAAACCAGCCTCAAGGAGCCGGACTGCAGCCGCCGCAGCAGATGTGGGGTCTTCCCTGGGGCAGATCCGCCCAGCCTCTGGCCCGGGAAAGGTAGCTGTGGAGCTGTACCCGTGTTCTCCTCAATCCCCACCAGCACGGGGACCAGAAGCACTTCTCTGGTGTGGCCGGAACGGCAGCACGGCGTTCTCCTCAGTCCCACCAGCAGGGAGACCGGAAGCGCTTCACCGGCGTGGCCGGAACGGCAGCACGGCGTTCTTCTCAGTCCCACCAGCACGGGGACCGGAAGCGCTTCACGGCGTGGCCGGAACGGCAGCACGGCGCTCTCCTCAGTCCCACCAGCAGGGAGACCGGAAGCGCTTCACCGGCGTGGCCGGAACGGCAGCACGGCGTTCTTCTCAGTCCCACCAGCACGGAGACCGGAAGCGCTTCACGGCGTGGCCGGAACGGCAGCACGGCGTTCTCCTCAGTCCCACCAGCACGGAGACCGGAAGCACTTCTCTGGTGTGGCCGGAACGGCAGCACGGCGTTCTTCTCAGTCCCACCAGCACGGAGACCGGAAGCGCTTCACGGCGTGGCCAGAACGGCAGCACGGCGTTCTTCTCAGTCCCACCAGCACGGGGACCGGAAGCACTTCACCGGCGTGGCCGGAACGGCAGCACGGCGTTCTTCTCAGTCCCACCAGCACGGAGACCGGAAGCGCTTCACGGCGTGGCCGGAACGGCAGCACGGCGCTCTCCTCAGTCCCACCAGCAGGGAGACCGGAAGCGCTTCACCGGCGTGGCCGGAACGGCAGCACGGCGTTCTTCTCAGTCCCACCAGCACGGAGACCGGAAGCGCTTCACGGCGTGGCCGGAACGGCAGCACGGCGTTCTCCTCAGTCCCACCAGCACGGAGACCGGAAGCACTTCTCTGGTGTGGCCGGAACGGCAGCACGGCGTTCTTCTCAGTCCCACCAGCACGGAGACCGGAAGCGCTTCACGGCGTGGCCAGAACGGCAGCACGGCGTTCTCCTCAGTCCCACCAGCACGGGGACCGGAAGCACTTCACCGGCGTGGCCGGAACGGCAGCACGGCGTTCTTCTCAGTCCCACCAGCACGGGGACCGGAAGCGCTTCACGGCGTGGCCGGAACGGCAGCACGGCGTTCTCCTCAGTCCCACCAGCACGGAGACCGGAAGCACTTCTCTGGTGTGGCCGGAACGGCAGCACGGCGTTCTTCTCAGTCCCACCAGCACGGAGACCGGAAGCGCTTCACGGCGTGGCCAGAACGGCAGCACGGCGTTCTTCTCAGTCCCACCAGCACGGGGACCGGAAGCACTTCACCGGCGTGGCCGGAACGGCAGCACGGCGTTCTTCTCAGTCCCACCAGCACGGAGACCGGAAGCGCTTCACGGCGTGGCCGGAACGGCAGCACGGCGCTCTCCTCAGTCCCACCAGCACGGGGACCGGAAGCGCTTCACCGGCGTGGCCGGAACGGCAGCACAGGCTCCCAGCCCCGCGCTGCTCTCGGACTACCGAGGGTGTAGTCCACAGGGCCTTGAAGGCTGGGGGCTGCTGCATTGCTGCATCCTAACTGGGCCTGGTGAGCAGAACACGGGGGTGTCCTATCTGCCCTAGGAAATACCTGTGCACGGGACACTGGGAGCCAACCCCCAGGAAGACTCAGGGACCTACCCAGGAGTGAAGACCTGGGGGATCTAGTGACTCAGGGCATGCCAGGACATGTCTTCTATGTAAATGGCAAGTTGTTGCACCTTGAATCTTCTTCCTTTAAGAAGGAGGCACCGGCTTTGGTGGGCCTCTAGATTTCAGAGATAGCGTATGCCACAACTGGAACGAGTTCCAACCCACCTAGTATCAGAGCCAGAAAGTACCTGTTTCCAGTGGGACGCAGAGCAAGGGAAGGCTCCGCATCAGGTCCAGGCCACAGTGCAAGCTGTTGAGCCACTTGTTCTGTGGGATCAGCAGAGTCAATGGTTCTGGAAGTTCCTGTGGAGAGAACAGCATGGCAGTGCTTCTGGTGAATACTGATATGACAGTCACAGAACATCCCTTGGAGTTATCAAGCAAGGCCGTGCCTTCAGTGCCAAAGAACCACCCTCCATTTCAAAAGCAACTGTGGGCATGCTTGGCGTTAGCAGAGACTGACTACGCAACTCAACGGTCAAGTGACTGTGTGAGCAGAGCTGCCATGTGAGCTGGCTATCATCAGTGCACCGAGCCACAGGTGGGTGACTGCAGGGACAGCCCAGCGCACAAGGGAAACAGCCTGAGCAGGTTCAGAGGACACAGGTGCATTCCGGGTGCTGCGGAGTCTGTGCTGTCTGCCCCCATGCACCGTTACTCTTTGTCTGATTATAGCCACACTCTCGCGGGGGTTCCCTGTGGTAACTGATAGAGGAAGACGGAAACACTGCCACGTTTCTAGCCAGAAACACAGATGCAGCAGCACAATATGTTGGTTCCAGCTGGGCATGGATGCTGCCACCCTACGACCCCTCTGGGTGCAGGAAGTCCTCCTGGTCAGAGCTGTGCACACAGCACTCAAGGCCACAGTTCTGTGGAACAAATGCTAAACACCGCATGGTAAGTATCTTCACAGGCTCCTAGGCAAGCAACCCAAAAGGAGCAAGATCAGAACATTGGAAATAATAAATGTGAGGGAAGAGGCAGGCAGGTGGTCCTACAAAAGAGGGCCCCACACATGGAGGCATTTGTGTCTTACGTTAACACACGCCAGGAAGCATCTCCTGCAGAGGACGCAATAGGCCACCAGGCTGACTGGATGGCCGGACAGTGGCCACGAGCCAGCCTGTGCCATCAGCCAACTGAGCCAGGAACAGAGCACACCAGAGAGAAAGGCTGAAAGCTTGGCCTGGGCCCAGCAGCATGGGTCTCCTCATCAAGGCTGGCTTGCTAGAGCACGGACCAGCACCGTTTCTGACCTGGCCCTGCTCTTGGGGGAGACCAGCCTGCCTCGTGGAGGCAAACCAATGACCTCAAACTCCTCTCGCCTTGGAGGAGAGGGCAACTCATCCTTACAGAACTTGACCCGCACTCGGGGTGTGGGGCTGTCTTCCCACCCTCCCTGTGTCTTCCAGCTCCCCTGGCAGTGGCTTTCAGAATTTGAACCTCACTGACTTGCTGACATAGAAGATTAAAGACGCTCACAAATTCTTTGACAGCCCTCCCATCAAAAGGTGAAACCTGTGTTCCTTGTCTTTGAAACTGGGCGGGTTCTTTGGCCAATACAGTATAGTAGAAGCAATGCTGTGCCATTTCTGGGGTCGACCTTCAAATTCTTCCCTCTGGGATTGCTCACTCTGGGAAAAGCCAGCCAGCACATAAGATCCAACTGTGCTGGCCTTACCATGCCGTGAGGAAACCCCAGCTGGACAAAGGGAGGGGCTTCATAGAAGGAGAGATCCCTGCAGCAGATACAGCGTCCCAGTGAAGAAGCTTTCAGACGATTCCAGCCTCGGCCACCATCTGACCGCGTCCCAGTGAAGAAGCTTTCGGACGATTCCAGCCTCGGCCGCCATCTGACCGCATCCCAGTGAAGAAGCTTTCGGACGATTCCAGCCTCGGCCGCCATCTGACCGCGTCCCAGTGAAGAAGCTTTCGGATGATTCCAGCCTCGGCCGCCATCTGACTGCACCCATGTGAAGGACCAACATGAGAACAGAACACCGGGCTGATCCTGCCGGCCCCCAGCACAGTGAGAGATAACACATTGGGGTTTCAGGCCACTAAGTTCGTAGGTGGCTCCTTATGCTGCATTAAACATTTATGACAGTATTTCACAAAGCACCTGCCTTGCACCCAGAGACCTCTTCAAGGTAAAGAAGGTCTGATGACGGGCACTTGACCATGGAATTCACTGGCGTTACCACAGACCCATCACCCAGAAGCAGTCAGCCTACCAGTGAAGGGAGACTTGCGAATGGCCCGGCATGGGCGGCAGCTCTAAGAAAGCCTGGGCCCGTCTGGCCCAGGAACTGCACTCCAGGACGTAGGATCCGTGCTGAGCCCATGGTCAGGAAATGATCCCGTGTCCCTGGGACCTTGCATACAAAGCTCTGAGGACCCCAGGGACAGAAGCCAGTTTGGCCCCTCCCCAGCACACACGGTGAACGGCTTGCATGGCTGTGCTTCCTGGGGCTGAAGTCTGAGGCTCTCTTGGACTGGAACCCTTGACCCCCTGGTTGAGGGGAGGCTCCTGCCAGCGTACACAGGTTGCTGCAAGACTAGAAGCCATGACCACCATTTGGCCACTTTGGCCTCCTCGTGCCAGTGGGCAAGCCACACATGCACTTACCGTACCTGTGAAAGGGCCAGGCTCTGAACACCATGGAGATCTCTGGGGTTGGGGGGGTGCCAGGCTCAGAACACTGTGGAGATCAGGATGAGGGGGCCAGGCTTCGAACATCATGGAGATGGTGGGGGCCAGGCTCCGAAAACGGTGGAGATAGGGGTGGGGGGGCCAGACTCTGAACAACATGGAGATGGGGAGTGGGCAGGCTCTGAACACCGTGGAGATCGAGGCTTGCTTCTGTACCACGGGGCCAACGAGGGGAATGCCTGCAGCTGACAGCTTGCTGGGGCACTTCGGGATCTGCACTGAGTGGCAGCTGTAATCACAGCAACCATGGCCCATCCAATGCAGGATGACCGAGGCCTGGGTGCCATGGGGCGAACAGTTCAGACCAAGGCTCAGCTGAGGGAGGCCAGTCTAGGATGTGGGGAGGGCAAGGAGAGGATAGTATGGGGTTTGGCCCCAGGATTAGCGGTGTCAGCAGGGACCATAGCCTGATGCGGCAGCCCTTTTAATGGCTTTTCAGTAGATTACAACCAGAGAACCCCTGGAGAAATTGCACTTGCACCACCCCTCAGGAACCAGGGCTGTCCATTCCCGGGTGAGACACGTGGGGTGGGCTGTCATCGGTTCCAGGGCCATCCATTCCCAGGTGAGACACGCAGGGTAGGCTGTCATCAGTTCCAGGGCCATCTGTTCCTGGGTGAGACTTGCGGGGTGGACTGTCTCGGGTTCCGTTCAGGTCACTGAGGCTGGCATGGTCGTCTTGCTGTCGGGCTTGAGCAGCGATTGCGAACGTCCCTCCCGGCTCCTGCATGCACGTCTCGGGTTCCGTTCAGGTCACTGAGGCTGGCATGGTCGCCTTGCTGTCCGGCTTGAGCAGCCATTGCGAACATCCCTCCCGGCTCCTGTGTGCACAGCTAGGTGGCTGCTGTTGCTCCTGCAGCCATGGCCAGTTCCTGGGTCCCTGGAGAGCTGTTTCTGGGCCCACCCATCAGGTATCAACAAACCCAACAACACCCAGCTCCGATAGCGCTGGAGGCCTCTTGCTTAGTTTCTCAGGGCTCTCTTATTGCCTGTGATGGGGGAGATGCATCGGAAGCTGTCTGCCACCTGCACGCAGAGTCTGAGGTGAAATGAGGCCAGCAACAGGAACTGGCATGTCCGCCCTGTCCCACTCCTCTCCCTGCTCCACTGATCAGAGATGCAGGAGCTTCACGCAGTCCCTGAGGAGAAGCATGGAGCCAGACGTCAGCCGGCAGTGGACAGTGACCTCCCTGAGAGTCACCTTCCTCCCTTTCTTGCCTCAGTCCCCTCTTCCCACTCCTGTTTCCTGGGATTGCACTCCCCAGAAAAATACAGGCACAAGACTTTTGCCTCAGGTTCTGTTTGCTCAGGGAGCTAGGCTAACAATATACAAACACCATAATAAAGTGTTGGCTATCCAGCCTTGTTCAAAAGAAAGAAAGATACAGAATCATGGTGTCGGAAAACAGAGACAATTTGACTTCCTCTCTTCCTATTTGAATATGCTTTATGTCTTTCTCTTGCCAATTGCCCTGGCCAGAACTTCCAATACTATGTTGAATAGGAGTGGTGAGAGAGGGCATCCTTGTCTTGTGCCAGTTTTCAAAGGGAATGCTTCCAGCTTTTGCCCGTTCACTATGATATTGGCTGTGGCTCTGTCATAAATAGCTCTTATTATTTTGAGATATGTTCTGTCGATACCTAGTTTATTGAGAGTTTTTAACATGAAGGATGTTGAATTTTATCAAAGGCCTTTTCTGCATCTTTTGAGATAATCATGTGGTTTTGTCTTTGGTTATATTTATGTGATGGATTATGTTTATTGATTTGCATATGTTGAACCAGCCTTGCATCCCAGGGATGAAGCCGACTTGATCATGGTGGATAAGCTTTTTGATGTGCTGCTGGATTTGGTTTGCCAGTATTTTATTGAAGATTTTCACATCGATGTTCATCAGGGATATTGCCCTGAAGCTTCCTTTTTTTGTTGTGTCTCTGCCAGGTTTTGGTATCAGGATGATACCAAAAGAGTTAGGGAGGATTCCCTCCTTAAATTTCGAAAACCCCATCGTCTCAGCCCAAAATCTCCTTAAGCTAATAAGCAACTTCAGCAAAGTCTCAGGATACAAAATCAAAGTGCAAAAAACACAAGCATTCCTATACACCAATAATAGACAAACAGAGAGCCAAATCATGAATGAACTCCCACTCACAATTGCTACAAAGAAAATAAAATACCAAGGAATACAGCTAATAAGGGAAGTGAAGGACCTCTTCAAGGAGAACTACAACCCACTGCTCAAGGAAATAAGAGAGAACACAAACAAATGGAAAAACATTCCATGCTCATGGATAGGAAGAATCAATATCATGAAAATGGCCATACTGCCCAAAGTAATTTATAGATTCAATGCTATTCCCATTAAACTACCATTGATATTCTTCACAGAATTAGAAAAAAAAACTTTAAATTTATTTTTTCTTTCTTTCTTTTTTTTTTTTTTGAGACGAGTCTTGCTCTGTCACTTAGACTGGAGTGCAGTGGCGTGATCTCGGCTCGCCACAACCTCTGCCTCCCAGGCTTAAGTGATTCTCCTGCCTCAGCCTCCCAAGTAGCTGGGACTACAGGTGCCTGCCACCACACCCGGCTAATTTTTGTATTTTTAGTAGAGATGGGCTTTCACCATGTTGGCCAGGCTGGTCTTGAACTCCTGACCTCAAATGATCCGATCACCTTGGCCTCCCAAATTGTTGGGATTACATGCATGAGCCACCATGCCCGGCCTAAATTTCTTATGGAACCAAAGAAGAGCCCATATAGCCAAAACAATCCTAAGCAAAAAGAACAAAGCTGGAGGCATCCCACTACCTGATTTCAAACTATACTATAAGGCTACAGTAACCAAAACAGCATAGTACTTATACCAAAACAGACAAATAGACAAATGTAACAGAACAGAGACCTCAGAAATAACACCACACATCTACAACCATCTGATCTTCGACAAACCTGACAAAAACAAGCAATGGGGAAAGTATTTCCTATTCAATAAATGGTGCAGGAAGAACTAGCTAGCCATATGCAGAAAACTGAAACTGGATCCCTTCCTTACATCTTATACAAAAATTAATTCAAGATGTATTAAAGAGTTAAATGTAAAACCCCAAACCATAAAAACCCTAGAAGAAAACCTAGGCAATACCATTCAGAACATAGGAATGGGCAAAGACTTCATGAGAAAAATGCCAAAAGCAATTGCAACAAAAGCCACAGTTGACAAATGGGATGGAATTAAACTAAAGAGCTTCTGCAAAGCAAACGAAACTATCATCAGAGTGAACAGGCAACCTACAGAATGGGAGAAAATTTTTGCAATCTACCCATCTAACAAAGGTCTAATATCCAGACTCTACAAGGAACCTAAACAAATTTACAAGAAAAAAAACCTCCCATCAAAAAGTGGGTAAAGGATATGAACAGACACTTCTCAAAAGAAGACATTTATGCAGCCAACAAACATATTTAAAAAAAGGCTCTACATCACTGATCATTAGAGAAATGAAAATCAAAACCACAATGAGATACCATCTCACACCAGTCAGAACAGGGATTATTAAAAAGCCAAGAAACAATAGATGCTGGAGAGACTGTGGAAAAATAGGAAACTTTTACACTGTTGGTGGGAATGTAAATTAGTTCAACCATTGTGGAAGACAGTGTGGCGATTCCTCAAGGATCTAGAGCCAGAAATACCATTTGATCCAGCAATCCCATTACTGGATATATACCCAAAGGATTGCAAATCATTCTACTATAAAGACACCTGCACATATATGCTTATTGCAGCACTATTTACAATAGCGAAGACATGGAACCAACCCAAATGCCTATCAATGATAGACTGGATGAAGAAAATGTGGCACATATACACCATGGAATACTATGCAGCCACAAAAAGGAATGAGATCATGTCCTTTGCAGGGACATGGATGAAGCTGGAAGCCATCATTCTCAGCAAACTAACACAGTACCAGAAAACCAAACACTGCATGTTCTCACTCATAAGTGGGAGCTGAACAATGAGAACACATGGACACAGGGAGGGAAACAACACATACTGGAGCCTGTTGGGGGGTGGGGGGCGAGGGGAGGGAAGCTAGAGGATGGGTCAGTAGGTGCAGCAAACCACCATGGCACATGTATACCTATGTAACAAACCTGCATGTTCTGCACATGTATCCCAGAACTTAAAGTAAAATAAAAAAGATTTAAAAAGAAAGAGAACTTCATTAGTGCCCAAACTAAGCAAGATGTCACAGCCCCAGTTGTCATGGGAGCTGATGCTGGAAGCAGCCCTCAGGGAAGAGGGATCAGAAACAGGCCCTGGAGGGGTGAGGGTTGGGTTTTATTTCAGATGGGGTAAAAGAGATGGCCCTGGCTGCCACAGCAGGGACAGCAGCCTCCTATATGGTCATTAGGCCACGAGGGCTCTGCCCTCATCCATGACATTTCTTTTCTTTCTTTATTTTTTTGAGACAGGGTCTTGCTCTGCTGCCCGGGCTGGAGTGCAGTGGCACAATCATGGCTCACTGCAGCCTTGACCTCCTGGGCACAAGCGATCCTCCCACCTCAGCCTCCTGAGTAGCTGGGACCACAGGTGTGCACCACCGCACCCAGCTAAGGATACTGGCAAGGTCAAGACCCTGAAGGGCCATCTCATCCATGAAAAAAAGACTAGGTAAGTTTCACCCTCTGCTCTAAAATATCAGCAAAGACATTTTCCCTCTGCCTAGAGATATTAATGAAAAAAAAAAAGCTCCCCAAAGAGATAAATGAATATGTGACATGTGACAATGTGAAATCTGAATTTCCACTCACCCTTGTGTGACATGTGACAATATGAAATCTGAATTTCCACTCACCCTTGTGTGACACGGGACAATATGAAATCTGAATTTCCACTCACCCTTGTGTGACACGGGACAATATGAAATCTGAATTTCCACTCACCCTTGTGTGACATGGGACAATATGAAATCTGAATTTCTACTCACCCTTGTGTGACATGGGACAACATGAAATCTGAATTTCCACTCACCCTTGTGTGACATGGGACAATATGAAATCTGAATTTCCACTCACTCTTGGTGTGTGGAAATCTCAGCGAAGAAAGTAAAATGAAAACTTGTTTAATGTGATTGAAGTCTCTGGTGCCTGGAAGGAAGCAAATACATGTCTCCCTGGAAGGAAACTCCTGCAACCTGAAAGACGGGCTTGTTCTAACGATGTCCAAGCTCCGCGAGGGAGAGAAACACGTGAGAAAGCATCACAGGTTGAGGAATGTAAGTTTTGTGTCCTCCAGAGCTAAAGATGCACTAAAGAATCAAAACAATAATAAAATCAAGGGCAACACGAATAAACAAATGGTTTAGAAATGAACAACATAATCACAGAACTTAAAGGAAAGGCGACAACCAGATGAGACACCGTAGAAATGAGAACAAACAAGCTAGAATGCAGAGATGAGAAAATTATCCAGAAAACAGCAGAGAAAAGCCTTAAAATATTCAGGATCTGGGTCAGGACGAGATGTGAAAAGCAGAATGAGCCATGTAGCAGAGGCAGCATCTGTCAGTTCCCGCTGCTGTAACAAAACACCTGAGGCTGGGCGAGCTGTAAACAGCATGAGTTTATGGCTCACAGTTTGGAGGTGGGAAGTCCAAGATCAAGGTGCCGGCAAGTTTGGTGTCTGGTGAGGACTGTCTCTGCTTCCAAGACGGTGCCCTGTGGCTGCGTCCTCATGTGGTGGATGATGCAAGGGCAAAAAGGGCCCAGCCAGTTCTTTTCAGCCTTTTTATAAGGCACTCACCTCATCTGTCAGCCTGGGCAACATAGTAAGACCCTGTCTCTACAGAAAATTTTAAAATTAGGCTGGGCACAGTGGCTCACACCTGTAATCTCGGCACTTTGGGAGGCTGAGGCGGGTAGATCACCTGAGGTCAGGAGTTCAAGACCAGCCTGACCAACATGGAGAAACCCCGTCTCTACTAAAAAAATACAAAATTAGCAGGGTGTGGTGGTGCATGCCTGTAATCCCAGCTACTCGGGAGGCTGAGGCAGAAGAATCACTTGAACCCAGGAGGCGGAGGTTGCAGTGAGCTGAGATCTTGCCATTGCACACCAGCCTGGGCAACAAGAATGAAACTCCATCTCTCAAAAAAAAAAAAAAAAAAAGATTTTTAAATTAGCCAGGTATGGTGGTGCGTGCTGTAGTCCTATCTATTCAGGAGGCTGAGGTCGGAGGATCACTTGAACCCAGGAGGTCAAGGCTGCAGTGAGCCAGGATTGCACCAATGCACTCCAGCCTGGGCAACAGAATGAGACTCTGTCTCCAAAAAGGAAAAGGAAAGAAATGTCACTCCTGAGGGCAGAGTCCTCGTGGCCTAATGACCTCCAAAAGCCCCATTTCTTAACGCTAGCTCGGGTTCCCACACATGAATCTGGGGGACACGTATATGAACCACAGCAGGCAGTGATGAGAGAGGGAAGAAGGTGAGGTTCAAGGAGATGGTGACTCAAAATTCTCCAGAATGTGAAATGCTTTTGTCTACTTGGGCTGCCATGAGAAGTGCCACAGACGGGGCGGCTTAAACGAGGCACATTGTCCCGGAGGCTGGAAGTCCAAGGTCAGGGTGCCATGGGGCCAGTTCCTCTGGGACCTCTCCCCTGGGCTTGCAGATGGCATCTTCTCCCTGTGTCCTCACAGGGCCATCCCTCTTGCGTGTCTGTGTCCTCATCCCTTCTTCCTCTAAGGGCATCAGTCACACTGGGTTAGGCTCACCCTAACATCCCCATTTTAAATCAATGACCCATCTCCTGATACAGTCCCATTCTGAGGTCTGGGGATTAGGACTTCAACACAGGAATTTGGGGAGGGGGAGGACACCGTTCAGCCTGTAACAGAAAATGACTAAAGACAGAAAAAGAGGAAAGCAGCACCCTGAGGCTTTGGCAAGATTAAAACACAGAATCTCAAAAGTGGAGAGGAGCTTGAAGGTAACTGGAGAGAAAAGGTAAATGCCGTCAAGGAGGAAGGACCAGAGCGACAGGAGGGGCCAGCAGTGCCTCAGATGCCAGAGAAAGAGCGACATCTTCCCCGCCAGGAGGGGAGCCGGCCCCTGAGCACGGGCCCAGGAGGGGAGCGGGCCCCTGAGAACGGGCCCAGCTGAACTGTCATCCAGCCGGGAGCTGGGGTCAGTGTCGGTTCAGAGTGACCACTGAACGTTATGGCCCAGCAAGAAGGAAACTGAACCCAGAAGGAAGCCGTGGGATGCAGGGCCTGGAGCGCGAAGCCTGAATAAGCCTGGGGCATGAGATGAGCCATGCAGTGAGGGGTGTGGGGACTGCGGGGAAGACGGGGCTGAGACAGCAGAGCCTCATCTGCAGGAGGACACTGGGGATTCTTGCCGTCACTCCTCGACCTGACCCTAGGGCCGTGAAGCATCATTGCGGTGGCCTGTCTGCCACGTTTTGGAAACAGCCACCCTTTGGCCACAGGCTGGCAGCTAGATCTGCCTTGGGGGCCCACACGGGCTTGAAAGC